>NC_000013.11:88071160-88374191 GCF_000001405.40 Homo sapiens
TGAGATTATAAAACTACAAGAAACCAATATGTGTAAAAAAACAATAAAAGGAAAAGACTGTCATATATATATATATTTTATCTCAGCTCACTGCAACCTCTGCCTCCTCAGTTATAACCATTCTCCTGCCTCATCCTCCCAAGTAGCTGGGACAACAGGCACACGCCACTATGCCCAGCTAATTTTTTGTGTTGTTAGTAGAGATGGGGTTTCACCATGTTGGCCAGGCTATGTTATTAATATTTATATCTGATATCATGGTATTAGACATTTCTTGTCTTGATAGTATATTGCTGGGACTCAAAACACAATAACCCAAAGCTCATAGCCTTGACATGCTGAGTACTTTGAACAGGAGGACACTGGAAGACTTCAGAAACAAGATTGCACCTTCTCCTGTCCTCCTGTTTCCTGCCCCTCCTTCTTCTCCGGAAGTGAGTCATAGAAACCAGAATTCTTCATTAAAATTTGTCATAGAAACTAGAACCCCTCTCCTGCAAACTAAGCCATAAAACTTAGAAAGTTCACTCCTTCCCTTCTCCCTTAAAGATCCTCATTCCAGAGGGTCCTACCCCATACCTAAGAGTAAGGAATGCCACCCAGAGAGGCCTGGAAAATCTCGACAGACAGGCTTTGTTGGGCTTCCCCACTTAGTCTATCACTATTAGTCCTACCCTTTGTCCAGTCACATTTCTACACAATTGTCCAATCTTCATCAAACCGAATCATAAAACAGACAAGTTTTCTCTGGATCTTTAGGTCTTCATTTTCTGAAGTCCCCTGTGTCACATAAATCTTTGATTAAACAAACTTGCTATGCTTTTCTCTTGTTATAGGAGTGTCTATTGTGACCCTTATGATGAGGAAAACTGCCGTAACTTTCCGTCCTTACAAGATTCTCATGTTTCAAAACATCCTTCAATTTCTAGCATAAGCATAAATTTTAAAGAAATTAAAGAACCTATTTTTGTCTAGTTGAAAATAATATAAATACCTTTTTTTGGTGGAAAAGGAAAAGGCCCAACACACAGTGGCACAGTGGAATTCTAGATAAATCAGGGTTAGAGATCAAATAAATATACTTAGAACAGTTAGTTCAATAAGCGTTCTCAGTAGGATGCACTGTTCCTTATTGAATAAAAATTCCAAAGATCACCTCAAATCTTTGCATTTGTTAACAATTGCACTTACCACATATACCTAGTCTTTTTCTATTTTGATAATTAACACATTTTTTGGTAGCAGCTCAATAAGAAAAACAGTTTCTTCCTTTATTGTGCTGTGGACTTAATCTCAACAGGGTGTCTTTCCCTGCCCACCCTAATTAAGAAAACTGGCATATAAAACTTTCTGCAGATGGATCAACAGCAGGAGCTGCACAGATTTTCTTCATGAGCTTAATAGTTCTATCAGCAGCCCACATCACTTGAAAATCAGTAGTGCTGTCTATACTCCATAGGCCTTCAGAGCATCCAAGCTCCCTGCCAATGCTTCCTCTACGATTACTACTGAGATTACTCTCAAGGTTCTCCAGAACAGTCTCCTACATGTTAGTTTTTTTTTTTTTTTTTTCTGAAACTATTTTCTCTGTTTTTTTCCTGGCTCCCACACTCTGTAACTCTTGCCAAGAGACTATTCCTGCCATCTTAATAGTCTCACATCAGAATTGGAGAATGAGAGGCCACAAGACTGAAGAAGATAATGAGCAAACGGAAGTAGCTTCTAGCTTAAAAAATTCACCTGGTTCACTTTATTTTTCAGTCTTTATATATATTATATCATACCATTTTGGCAAGTTTAACCCACTGGAGTAGTCCAGGCTTAGTTACACCTAATTTATACATGTCTTTTAGGAGAAACAGCAAGACAAAATCAAGTATCTCAATTTTATCCCAGCTGCTGCCATTTGGATAGCTCATCTTTCTTTCTGTCCTCCTTTTGTTTGTGTGAAGAAATGACTAATGCGTTCCCACTCTGGTTCTCCTACTTCATTCTAGTGCTGGTCAAAGACAAAACTTGTTGTAGAAGCTCCATCTTACAATAGTGCTTAGAATATAAATGCTTAGAATAAGCTATTTATTGCCTCTGTGCTACCTAGTATTCACTTATAATCGCTAATATGAAGACAGATTAAGAGAAACACACATATGAAGACTGTTGCTGTTCCCTATTTTCATAGCAACAACCCTTAGAAAATCTTGAAAGGCTTCTGCATGCAATGTCTGATGATACATTCTAATTTTCAGTTATCATGATAAAAAAATGTAAAAATTTATAATAAATTAAGAAAACATGAGGTTATATCAGCCAGATATATTATTTGCATAAAATATAAACTGTTTTAATCAGTAAATCAAAAGACATGTGACTCAGCCTTTTAAGTCTCACAATCTCCAGAGCCAGAATGCTAGGCTTGGAGGATACAGTCAGAAAAGACATCCAAACCACACAGTAAAGTTGTTGCTTTGGTGCCTTGTTTGGATTTTCCCCTCAAGACTAAGATGGGAGAAGTCTTGGAAGTTGAAGGCTCAAAGCTGAGTCTATCTCAAGAAATTGCCCTCAACCAAAAGAAGGTGCCTCATCTAAGATTCTGCCCTATCTTTAGAATCAACCCACATCTGATGACTGGTTAAAATGGATACAAAGTCTGGGCTCCTTTTCTCAATTTGGAAAAACAATGAATTGCTATCCCAGCTCTTGAATGTCCCATGGGATAGGCTAAATGCTCTGATGCAACTTGAGGAAAGCACAACTTCTCTTTCTGTCCAATCCTGTGTCCTTCATGCTTTTATAAATGGGTCTCTTGAAGCACTCCCAGGTAAAATATAGCAGGTATATCTGTATCTCAGAATCAGTTTATCAGGGAGTCCCACCAAAGGCATGGAAAGATTCTCTCAGCAGTGACCCCACTCATGATGCTATGATAAGAGACACAATGTCTGGCAGAATTGAACAGAGCACTGGATTCCAGAAACTGCCATTGACACCAAAAAGCCACCCTCTCCACTAAAAAATGCAATGCATCTCACCTGTATCTTCCAAGTGAAAGTCTCTACCAAAATTGTAAACATTGCATAGTACTCCTTGGGTGGGCATTGGAAGCAGCCATGTATCACGGGTTGCTAATACCTTTAAACATACTTTTTTTACTGTAGAGTTCATTACAATATGAATCCTTCTCCAAGATACAAATAAGAAATTTAGTTTTCTGATTTCTTTTGCTGCTAAGGGCACAGACATACAATCTATGCAGCACCTGTAGCATATACTCAAAAGATATTTTCTTTCAAAAGAAGGATTCATATTGTAATGAATCCTTGTGCTAGCACAAGTTCTAAATTATAAACATTCAAATTGAAATTTGAAAAACATTCATTTGTAAAGTTGAGTTTCTTATATAGTTTAAATCGTGTTCTGTTTAATGAGAACAAGAATTTTGATAAAATCTGATCATTATTTGTCTGAATTCCTGTATACAGCAAAATACTAACTAAGGAAACCTTACCTGTCCTTTATTTGGAAAGTTTTTCTTAATGGAATTATTGTAGAAATGAAACATTCATATTAGAACAAAGTAGAGACAATGAAATTCTGGTATGTAATTTTTTAAATCTATTTTTGTTTGTTAATGTAATATAAATTTGAAGTTACTCCGAGTTATAGAGTGGGACAGATATTCATTTAGCCAAATTAACAAAATGCTTTAGTTTTTGTTTTGTTTTCTGAATAAAATAATATCACATAAAACCACAAGTCTTTCTCACAGACACTCCTACCAGGCATTAATAATGATTACGTAATATAAGAGGCATTTTAAGAGATCAGAATTGAGTAAGAGGTCTTATGCAAAGCTGTTAACCAACTACAAGTAAGTAAAATCACTTATTCTTTGGTACAATGTGTGTTGTTGATTACATAATGTCTGTGGATGGCTCTGTTTCTAATATTCCACCATTCTATGATTCCAGATAATGTTGTTTAAATCAATTATGATAAAGTTCAGGTGGAACATTAATGTAAACAAATCTTCAGTTTGGCAGCCAACAGAAGACATGATTCTTTCAAGACAAAAGAAGAAACCAGCAGCCTTTACGCAATGAATACTGACAAATTTAGTAAGCAACAAGAGGGGCTGGAGGCAACGTTGGAGGATCTGCAACATCTGTCAGTGGCATGCCTCCAGTTCTTCAGTTTTCTCTCATCAGCTCCAGTCATCTTGGCCAATAGAATCTTTTCAGCTCCAGGATTAATCATGTTCATGTATCTGAGTATATTCTGACTGTGGGAAATCATAGTTATATCCAAGAAAGTGTTGCATGACTTTGTATCTTGTCTGGACCCCAAATCGATGTTATCCAATGTGGATTTCTGGTTTCCAACATTGTTCCTTTATTGCCATAAACCAGGGACTGGTAACCATAAACCAAGAGCCTCCAATTTTATTCCTGTAACATTGAAGTTATTCCTTTCAAGTCTTCCCTATCATTTCTCACAGTGTGTGTTTTCCCTATTTTTCTTCCTTTTACTTTTCCTCAGCCCAAGCAAATAAGCAGTTTTCTATTCTCTATTGAAAATATTGAGTACCAAAAATATGACATATATTTTAATATTCATTTTTATATAGTATCTTATTTAACCATCTCAACTCTACTGTGATATATACAGTTTGTTCTCATTAAACAGTTGAGAAATATCCTCAGTGAAATGAAGCAAATAATCCAAGACCATACTGCTATATAACGTTAGAACTTGGATATTTAGATCTCTAAACTTGAATATAGATAGATAGATAGACAGATAGACATATATCTCCACTATATGTATATGTATGTGCGTGTATATATATACATGTATATATACATATATATTATGTATACACACACACACACACACACACACACACACATATATATATATACAACTGATTCCAAAGCTTTGCTCTTGAAATATACAGTTATGAGGCAATTACCTAAACTTACTTTTCTCCCCGATTTAGACAAATTGCTTTAATTTTTATTGAGATCTCTATGCTTTTGGATATATGTGGCCTAACACATCTCAGAGAGGCAGCCTCCATAGCTCATCTATTCCCTCAGTAACTATGCTGCTGAAATCTTGAACTTCCAGACGTCTCCATCAGAACCCAGAGCACACATACACACACAAATTGTATGCTTAGTCTCAGTCTATGTCCTATTCATGGAACAGCCTCTGAGCCATTGTTGCTACCTAGAGCCTTCTGACATATTTAAGTCTTGCACTTCGTCAGCTGGTTGACATACCACACCTCACTTCCTATGTCATTTAACATCTTCCCTTCCCAGGTAGCAAACTCCCTCTTGCTACTCCTTGTTCCTCTTATTATTAAAGAAATAAATTGAATTATTTTATAGGATTTACAGTGAAATATTTGTATTTCCTATAATGTAAATACTGTGTACACTTTCCTTTTCTTTTTTTTAAATGTTAATATTGACAGTGGGTTCAAGTGTTAGCCTAATCTTCTGTAGCATTTCTCATAATAATTTAGGCAGCCATTGATAATAATTTTTTGTGTCTACAATTTCATTCGTGGGTGCAATATGATGATATTACAATTCTATTAACCTTTTTTCTTTATCAGCTAGAATTCTTAATTTAAAAAATATTTCATCAATTATTTACTTGCAGTTGTATAAGAATATTAGGATGAATGCTAGCGTCCTTCCCTTTCTTTCTCAGTTTACAGAATGCATTGGTTACATAGTATTCACCAAATGTGATTAAAGAATTTTTATTAAGTTAAAAAATTATCATTTTCATCACTAATTAATGTCAATCAATTTTTCAGTAACTGCCACTTGTTTTGCTACTAAAATTGCCTTGTCCTAACAATAGAATCCTCTTCCAATTGTACCATGAGATCTTTTGATATGTAGTCTTTGAAATCTTCCTTAATTTTTTAGGATAATAGGTTGTTTCAGACCAATTCTGTACATTTTTTGCACCATATCTAGATTTAATCAGTTATTCGGGGTCCCCTGATTTATTTGAATGTAAAATGCTATATAGAAGGCTACCGTCTGCTTGCCAAGGTGGTCAGTGTTACTGGGTTTGTCATTGTTTTTAGGCTTTTTAGAATATGAGGCTTGGAAACATATATGAATATAAAATATAAAATATTTTATGCATATAATAATATTTTTATTGCCAAAGCCAAAGTAACAAAATATTACCACCAATAGACGTACTATGGATATTGAAATAGTGATATTTAGTGGTGAGATTTTTTTTTTCCTTTTGAACTAAACACTTTTACTCACTTCTCCAAAGTCAATCTTTAAATCATTCATTTCCAACATGGGAAAAATTATATTTCTTTTCATTTATATGACAGTGTTATGATGATACATTTATAAAAATGTGAAAATCTTTTAAAAATTAAAATGTTGCAGTCAGCTTTCAATTATCAGAAAGCAGCTTCTTCTTTGGTATATCCTAGCTTTGAAAATTATTGAGGAAACTGCTAAATGATTTATTTTATTGGCAAAACTTTCTGAAAATGGCACAGAACAAAATAAACAAAATCTTTAAACAGAGTTAGTAACCAAGGAGTGTGCACAACAACCAAAGTCAGTGCAATCACTGACATGCCCTTTGTCCAAGCGCAAAGGGAATAATTAAGGTGCGTATTGAATTTCACTGCAAAAAGCAGAATACTATTTTGTGCATCAGACTGCAGCATAAGACTCAGGACCTGTAAAGACCACGCGGAACAACGGGACCATCTGTAGATGAGTGTTTGATGACATTTTTGAAGCATCTGTGATGACATGGGTCATTCACCCAGACTTCAACTATCTCACACCCTCACTGGGGTTCAGCCGAGTAACTTTGAAGCAACCCAATGAATAGCTACTATTGACATTTTCTAAAAATAAGACGTGAGAAAGGAAAGTTTCAACAAACTTCTTCAATTCATTTCAACTCAATAAACATTTTTGAAGGCTCACTAATGTGCACTGTCTTTGCTGCTCTATGCATCTCTCTTATCTATTAAATGTTCATCCTGCTTCAGATCCCTGTCAGATCTATCCTTCATGCTGCTGATACAAGAATCTTTTTCAAACATACTCCTGATAGGGTCACTTCTCCACCTAAAATCCCCAGGATAAAATTCAATAACTTTAGCAAGATATAAAATGTCATTAATGATTTGTTCTCTCCATCTCCTCACATCTCTCCTACTTATCCCTATGCCCCTGACATGCAAAGCTATTTATATGTCTTCTGGTGCTATTCTCACCTGAGTCATTTGTGCAATGCTTATGTTATATCTTCTTCCTGAAATGGTCATTCTGTCTTAAATGGACTATATACTAATTGGCTTTTTGATAACTCACACATTCCCTTCTACACAGAGTCTTCCATGATTTTTCAAGCTTGCTTAAATATCTATGGGTTCTTTCCATTAGAATGTGAGTGATTAAAAGGCAAGAGGCTGGCTCATAAGTCTCTTTGTATAACCACCCCCCACTTCTGCAACAGTACCAGGTAAAATAAAATGTAAAAAAAAAAAAAGATGTTTTATTTAATTACTCAACCAACCCTACAATATATCAAGCAGCTGCCATTCCATTAGAGCCCTGATATCTAAAAGACTTACTCAGCATCTCTGTTTCAAGGGGGTGTGAAAGAGAACATTTCTTAGTAGAAAGCTTTGTAACTATTTGAAAAGCAGACAAAGAATGTGAAGCATGAAATGGATTACATGGAGTAGTTTTATACTTGTCAGAAAGGAGATTGATTAGCTTTCTGAATCTTCAGAGTGGCAGTTCATTATTTTATTGGTTTCTAGTATAAGCGAGATATCCAAATTTAAAAGCAAATAACAAAGGGATTCCATAAATAGATAAATATTATATTTGCATTGACAGTCGTCAGTGCCTCATTGCTTTTGAGGGTGCCAAGACATAATCCAGGCTGTCTTCCTACTCAAGCCACTGTAAAAGCACTAGACCTGGAGATGTAGGTGACTTCCAAAGTGAAAGAGCTGAATAGTAGCAGAAACTGAAAACATGCCTCGGTTTCTGAACTATTAATCCAATGTGCATTTTACTAGAGTAAGGGCTATCAAATTATAAATAATATGTATCACAGTAAGACACCTTGTTTAAATATTTTTAGTTTCACAATAAAAAAATTTATTGTTGACCAGCATTTAATTTTAGACTCAAAATTCATAAAAAATATTAAGTTATACTTTTCTTTTTTGCATATATATTAACACCTATTTTTAATTTTTTTCAAATTGAATTATGTTTTAGACTTTATATGAACAGCTTTATAGTTCTTTACAAGAGGTGGTCTATTTGATGGTGCAGTTAAGAAAGTTGCATTTATCTTGCAGCACTGAGTAAGGTTAGTATGTGACAAATAAAATTAATGAGGGGAGAATGGAGCAACCAACTTTTTATATAAGAACATAGGATTATTTGAAGAGAAGTAAAAAATCAAATACAAATGAGCAAAAATGTCACAATAAAGAGGATTTGAGAAATAGGAAAATAGAAGTGAGTTAGAGGCATTACAATGTTCAATACTGCTTATAAATATTAATTAGAAAAGATACCAAAAAGATAGTGATATATACTATGTCCTGAATGTTTGTGTTCCCTCAAATTTCATATTAAGTATAAACTAGGAACCAAAACTCATATAGGTATGGTATTAGGAGGTGAGGTCTTTTGCGAGGTGAAAGAACCTCTTATGTAATTAGTGCACTTATAAAATAGGCCCAAGAAAGCTCCTTTGTTCCTTCTACCTCATCAGGACACAGGCAGAAGACACTATCTGTGAGATAATGGGCCCTCAGCAGACAGTGCACGTGCCTGCGCCTTGATTTTGGATTTCCCAGCTCCCAGGACTGTGAGAAATACATTTCTGTTGTTTATAAGCCACCCAGTCACCCAGGTGATGTATTTTGTTACAGCAGCTTGACTAGACTGCAACAACCTGGTAAAAACATAATAAATTATGTTTATCTCTGAAGGTATTTTAAAAAATACTAATTCAATGATTAGTTTCTAAAATATCAAACAATGTTAAATGTTAACACTGTGTATAAAAAGTGGTTGTAGAATCCCTGAAGGATTTTAGTAAATTTTAGATTAACCCTCATATGCCTAAAATGCAGAGATGCAAACACGATTGTAGGATGTAGGCAAAACTGTGAGACCTCTCACACATAATTCTTTACTAAGTAGACATAGGTAAAGGAAATAAGCTGACAGAACAATAATATAATATATAATAAATATAATTAAAGTGATGTTTCAAACTTATAAAGATATTTGCATGATTTCATAGATTATTGGATATATGTAATTTAAGAAAAAAGCCACAAACACATTATCTGAGAATGTCCTTCAATGTTAGTTCCTTTCTTTTTTAACTAGCTATTAATATCTATATATTTGAGGGCTTTTTTCTCCACTTGTAATTATGCTATTTTTATGATTTAATTCTATCATAAAAATGGCCTATAAAATAATATTATTCTATATTGTGCCCCATTTAGGATGTGGCTCTAATGGCTCTCCTGTCCCTTCACCTTGCAAAATAATCAGTAAATTTAAAATCACTTTCTCTCTTCCATTACAGAGTTTTCCCCATCTTTGAAGCACTCACACAAGATGTCTTAAATTAGCAATTCTCTTCCCATGATTTCTGTGTCTGCTGGTTTGTTACAAAGGCTGCTAATTCTTCTTTGCTCCCTTCCATTTATGTTTAATAATATCCCTAATGTCAAGCAATTGCTCCCAATAGAAGGATGTTTTATTCACTATACTCTATTATGAAGTAATATAAAAAATCTTATTAATTTGAACTAATAATTTCCCTTTCTTTAGTATGTTGGAAAATGACATTAAAACTAGATTTTTAAAATATTACAGTTAATATCATATACCTCATAATAAATTTCCTGAATTTAATTAATATGATATTGAAAGACTGAAGTATGCTTTAATATTAAAAATTCCCTTTAGCAAGATCTACTTCATTTTGAAGTCATGTTCTGGGATTGAGCAGATGTCAGATGTAAAAATTCATGAATCTTCAAATGTTTAAGTTAACTTTGCAGGATAAATAAAAATAAAAAGTTTCCATTTGACATTTTAAAGAAATATGCAACACTAAAAAATATTTTTCCCATGTAGATATAAAAGTTACTCTATTTTTGGAGAGACAGATTCAGTACTAGTTGCATGATTATACTTTTCCTCAATTTTTATACTTACTTTTCTGCATTGAAATTAATTTAAAAAATTTTATAAATGAGAAATTTACCAAGGCTATCATGAGAAATTTGGTCTTTTTGGAAAGAGGTGTTTATGACTTTTAGTTGGAGTGATGTAGAAACTGTACAGTTGTAAACATATTTTTTTCAAAATTTGAATGCAATAAATATGTTATAAATGAGATACATTATCCACTATGTTTAAATAAGATGATATAATAAAAAATTAACATATCCATGCATCATTGCTAAGAAATTTCTTCTTTTTGTATTGGACTTATAAATGTAGCCACCTTCATCTCCATATTATTGAGACATTTAAAAAAAATACTTAGCTTTTATCTGATGTTTAATCTTTCATCTTATTCTACAAACTCAGGAATCAGCTCTATCGAGCCAGGGGTTCTGATGTGTTGTTTCACTACCATATCACCAGCACCTAGAAAAGTGTCAAGTGCACAACAGGGGGTCAATATATATTCGTAGAATGAATAAAAGTTAATGAATGAGTAGATATTAGTTTCCAAGCAAATTAATATCCACATAAAATTCCATTTTCAAAATTGTGTTTTTCTATAACAAGCATAACACCTGATTATGTCCCTAAAGTTCTAAAATCTTGAAATTCATAAAGATGCATTCACATGGAGACTCCAGTATTTGGTTCACTGAAGAGTTACCAACTTTCAGTTGAAAACAAAGATGAAACCACACCTATTTAGGACACAGACCATAATCAATTACAGTTCTGATATCCACCAGGACCCAGTCTGCTTTTACTAGAACCTTGAAGACCATAGTAAGCCCACTCCACATTCCAGTACACCTGTGCCACACAGGAAGTTGCTAGTCTCCTATTTCCTCCCACAAACATTGTTTTCATGTTATTTGGTATGTCCTCAATTCCACATTTTTTTCCCGCTGGCAACTTTCCTCTTGAAATCTCTCTGATCCATGCTCTGAAATAATATTTTCCATTTTAAAGGAAAGATTCTGAATCTCTTCTGGAAGTATATCTCCTTTACCAGTTTGCCTTCCAAGGACGTGGCATCCTTTGGACGCTTTGTGTAGAACAATCATCAACTTTAGAAAAAATTTGCACTAGGTCATGTCAAGAAAGTAACAGTTGGCTGCTGTTAGATTCTCTGAAATTAATATCACCGAGGAGTGCAGATTTCATATTTTATTGACTGTAGATTGAGTTAGAAGCATAAGAAACACTTCAAAACCATCCTTTCTCACATTATTGAGTCTTCAGTTTTAGGATTTGATCAATTGATTGTCTTTCCTTAATTCCCCTTCAGCCTGTTGCATAGTTGTTAATCATTGTCCTAAGAATTCCCTTTTCTCCTTATTGGATCATATCTGTATCACTAGGGTCAAGTCAGGGAAACAGAAATCACTGCAATTATTTCACTGAGAGTGACATTAATACCAGGGATTGGATTCAAAAGTGATGGAAAAGCTGAAGAACAACCAGGGAAAAGTGAAGCAACCAGGCTTTAGCAACATCTAAAAACCTCTGCCACCTTCAAAATCCTTTGCCACTTTATTATGCTGATAAGATTATGAAAGAAGATAGTTTTATTTGTGCATGGAAACCAAAGCCTTCCAGGAGTAGCTAGAACCTTGTGAAAGTGGGATTAAGGAGGCTTCCTATAGAAATTATGATCACAGAGAAAGAAACTATCTTTTTTAATTTAGCACCACAAAGAAAGAGTCTCTGCTGGACGTATCACCACAGAGAGAACTAGAGACAGAAATGTTCAGGCTTCTTGGTCTTCCTGGACTCCAAATTTCTGCAAGGCACTTCCACTGGCTGCACCTACAAGGAAGGCAGTTTTCATGGAAATCTGAAAATTGTAGATGCCTGCTATATAGAACCAATCAGGAAATGGACAAGAAAGACACGTGTGAGCAAAGACGTAAAGGAACAGTAAAATAGGCTTGCTAGATAATGTTTTTTTCTGCTTTCTTTTTACAGAATCTTTTGTTATTTATTTAGTTTTTGTATTTATTTAGTCTTAATGCATTGGTTTAAACCCCCATTTCAATACTGAACAGAAATGGCAATAATAGATACTCATATTTTACTTCTGACTTTAAAGAGAATGATTCAAACATTTCTCCTTCAATATTGAAGTAGGATTATGTTTGTAGATGCCCTATGTTAATTTAAATGAGTTACGTTCCATTTTTAGTACTCTAAGAATAGTTTTTATAAATAGTTACTGAATGTTTATGTTTTAAAATTGTTGTGTTTTAATTTTCCCTTTAATCTGTTATTGTGGTAAATTATATTTCTATTGTTTAATCAACCTGGCATTTTAAGGCAAATTAGATTTGTTCATATTATACACTGCTACATAATTTAATACTAATTGTAATCTATTTTAAATTTTTGTTCATCTTTGTTTATTGTTCTGTATATTTTTGTACTCTTGTCAGGTATAGCATTAAGTTTAATGAATTAACAGAATGATTTGCAGAATACCCTTCATCTCTGACGTCTACTTTTCTGTAGTTTTGGAATGATCTACTTACTGAGAATTTTATAGAGTTAAACTATAAAACCGTCTAGTGCTACTTCTTTTTTTTACTTGCCACAACACCAATTACTTAATACTTAAATGATTATTCAGGATTTTTATTTATTCTTGATTAAATGCTGGTAAGTAATATTTTTCTAGATAGTTGCATATTTCTGCTTATGCTTTAAATTTACTCAAAATAATTAATAGCATGCCTTCATTTTCTTTCTAATCACTAAGTATGCCATTAAACCCATTTTTATTCTTAATATTTATTTTCTGGCTAACATTTGTTGTTCCTTGATAAGCCTGAAGAGGTTGATAAATGTTATTACTAATTTTGGAAAATCAGTTTTTGGCTTTGGTGATCCTCTTTGTTGGCCTAGTTTTCATTTTGTGAATTTATTTTCTTATTATTTAGTCTACAATCATTGGGTTTATTCTTTTGATGATTTTCTAAACTCATTAGAGTTCAACTTTCTTCTTTTCTAATTTATGCATTTAAGGCTATAATTTTTCCTTTGCATAGAACATTTGTTGTGTCTCCCACGTCTTGATATGTACTATTTAATTCTCTTCAGGTGTTAAGAAACTTGCATGTTTTCATTATATATGTTCATATAATTGATTTTTCTACAAAATGAAAATAATATATAATCTGCACTATCCAGTATGATAGTCACTAGTGGCTACTGAACACTTAAAATGTGCAACTCAGAAAATGAATATTTAATTATATTTACTTTAATTAATTTAAATATAAATAGCCACATGTCTAATGCCCACCTCATTATACATCTCAATATAAAAAAGAAATGAAACGTGAGCTGATAGAGGATATTTATATAATAAACATGTTTTGATGCAGGAGTTGTACCATAATGGTTGTATATTTTTAAGCTGATTTATATAACCTAACAGAGAAGCAGACCTGAATTATCCAAAAGAGGACAGAATCAGAGGAGCTATATTCTTTAGTAGACCAAATGTGAATGTGGATATGGCATATAGTATAAAAGGGGAAGTCTTAGCATAATATAGAAGCCTAAACATTCATTCATAATAGCAGAAGATGAAGCACAGTGTGTGAGTACACATGGGTATGTGATGGGAACATGTTGTATTTTCAATATGTTGTCTCCCCTTCCTAATTATTGAATGATCCTTGTGTTACTGGAGTTTGCCAACATTTCCAGCTAAAAACTAATTGTCATAGCCACTCTTGCAATAGCTCTGGCCACTGAGACTAGGCATGATTCACTGTCTGTGAGCAATAAATCAAGAGATACAGGTCAACCATTCTTCTGTTGACTTCTTTAGAATGAGGAAGAGTAGGCTGAAGTCCAACCAGCAATCTTTTATTTCTGATATACTGAGAATGGAAGACAATCATCATTTGTTTAATGAGTATGAAGCCACCAGAAGCAGCCATGAACTGTCTTCCTCCAGTTATGTTTTAAGGTTATACTTTTTTGTGTGTTTACTAAACACAATTCTTGAAAGAGGCATAATTTAGAAGTGAGGTGTTGATAGTAATGCAAACTGAAATGTGGCTGAAGAAGGTAGTCAGAAAGTAGTTGGATAAGTTTCATGTGGTACAAGACAGAGCTGGCATTAAGAAATAATAATAATGACCATTTGATTAATCCTTCATTTGATGTATATGTAAAAATGAACTACATGCCTAATGAGATTGTAAAACTAAAGAAAATGGCAGAAAATGTTTAAAACTTTACATGCAGTAATAAGTGGCTCTTATTGCTACTTTTGGCAAAGAAGATGAACTCAGATAAAGCTATGTGGGCTACTTTGAAGTTTGTATGTTCCTTTTCTTCAGAAAAACAATATCCAGATGAGGTAGGATTACATATGATCCAGAGACCTCAGGTTCCAAGTCAATATTTTGAAATGCAGGACACTGTTATAAGGATTATCAGTTGCCTATCCAATATCATTTCTCCTCATCTTCCATTGACATTGAATCACTCTGCTATTAGGAACGCCCTATGCTCAGGCACCCATGAAGATGGAGAGAGGATAAATAGTGAAAAAGGAAATGAGTTAGGATTTTTGGTAAATACCTTTAAAAGAAGTTGGGACAGCTGGAGAGGTTTACTTACTTTTCCCTTTGCTGTTGCTTTTCGTGTCTGGAATTCAGAAGTCACAATTAGGGGTCCTGTAGTCATATGATGACTGTGAGTCAAACTTGAGGACACAAGCCACTGGTTAAGAATAGGATAGTAGAAAAGTAAAAAGAGTACATTCTGTGATTACTAATGAGCTGTCATGCCATCCCTAGAGTTTGTTTTCACAAAATTTGTGAGTAGAAAATAAAATAGACAGAGAGAGAGAAAGAAAGAGAGAGAGAGAAGGAGAGAGAGAGACAGAGAGGAACAGAGAGAGAGGGAGGGAGAGAGAGAAACTATTTTTTTTCCAGTGACAATTTGGGAAGGTACAGGATGCTAATTCCTTTTTTAACTTATATAATGTAATTGCCTTCGATGGCTTTTGTTTTAACAGTGAAATGAGAAACAAACTCCAGCTGAGAGTGAGCAGGATTTGAAGGAAGGAGGATTTGGAGAGAGGAGAATGTAAAATAGATTTATAGGATAATGGGAGACTAAGTAGCCTGAAATAAAGTGTAGAAAGGTCAAACAACACTAAGGGCTCTCTGATATAAGTTACGGGTTCAAACCGAAATTAGCCAAGTTTGCATGATTTTTACCTGCTGTCCTTAACTAGAGTATATCGGGTACTGGTTTTAACTTCTTGTGGTTTTGCAAGGCAGGGAGGGATGAAAGTGTGACTCATTACTAATTGCTTACATTCTATGAGCATTGCATTTTTTATATGCATCACATTTAAACATCCTAAGAGCTATTGAGCAAGCCTACCTTGCTGTCCTCTTAAGAGTCTGCTGCTCCTCTTGAGCTACCCTTTCCAAGTCCAATTAACTTTGGTTAATGTAACAGTGTAATAAGTCAGTGTTTTATTTAAGTCTTCCCAAAGATACTGTACACATAGGACATAGAAGGTTCTCTTGGCATAATCATTTCCAATCCATTCATGTACACTTCATGCCCTATAAATGCAGAGATAGAAATTATATATTGAAACTGCAATTTATGTTACCTTGCAAGAACAGTGAGATCTAGTTTATATTCAAATTTGGTTTGCAGGCATCAATAAAATACATCAGTGAAAAAAACGGTCTTGTCTATCGACTTGCCCTCTCCTGTTTTGCTTTGTTTGGTAATGGAGTATCTAAGCGCTTACATTCAAATTACATCTGTTTTAACATGCATGTTATTTGCCAATTCTTACATCAAGGTAATTCGAAAAGTGTCATAATGTTGAAATTAAAAGTGCATGTTTAAGTTCTCCTACAAAAAAAAAAAAAAAAACATAGTAAGAGTTCCTTAACTCAAAGTAAAGCAGAATTGCAATTTTTAAAAAACACGTGTTAGTCCATTGTGACTATAACATTTAACTAGACTGAAGACATCTTTTAAAATAAAAACATTGGTTTTTCTGGACTTTATTACACGAGTAAGTGATTACTACAAAAGTGAGCTTGATTGCTCTTGCATTAAGATGTAAGTAGCTGAGGAAACACAAACAAGAAAACAGGCCAATGCAACTGTACCAGAAAGAAAAATTACATATTGGCTATACGACTTTCTTAATTATGTGACTAATACTCAATATTTATTGATTTAAAATAAGCAGACTTCTAATATAAAGAGTACTTTTGAACATGTTCCTCAAAAGTCAAGTATTGGAAAACAGCCCAAAATTATTGAATATATTTTGAAAATAATTTATCATCTCTATATTCTTAGTTGTAAATGTTTTCTGAACAGATGATTAAAAATAAAAAAATCAAACTATGATTTCATTTTACTGACAGTAGATAAGGATATAAGAATTCCTGGCTTTCAGCTAAATGGAGGAATAAAGGAGTATCTGAAAATAGCAAGATATATTGAGCCAAAACTTCATGAAGTGAGCAATAGGAAGTAAAATTAATATCTGAGATGACATTGATTAGCAAGGTTTATTTCAAAGTGACTTCTTATTACTTAAAATTGAAGATCAATAATTATTAATAGGAGATCACCAATTCAGATTTGCTCAGGTTTGGACTGGATTTAATGATGTATTGGGTAAATGATATTTATGCAATTATATATCTTAAGTTTAGGCTAAGTCAAAAATTTACATGAGTTTTTGTGAGGAAAAGAGAGACAAGCAGATTTGGCAATAACCCAGTTAGGCTGATGTTAAGTGAATGAATTTTAGACATCTGTAGCATAGAAGATATTACTCGGGATTTGGAGCTCTGTATGTTGGAAAACAAACCAAGACTCAGGTTTAGGGTTGACAACATTTTATTTTGCTATTAATGTACTTTCTTATCATTGTGTTGTTTTGCCACTAATTAAGTGAATTTTTATTCACATACAGGCACATGCACAGAGACGTAAACGAATTCTTATGTATATATGCCTTAGTATAAATATCATTAATAATGGAAGTTATGTAGAACGTGTAGGACAATTCTGAAAGCATACACCTCTAGCTTTATGAAACCTCCATTTAATTCTGCCTGCTGTTCCTTTTTCTCTGTGACAGGTAAAATCTTTGTATAATCAAGTATAGATAAACAGATTGGCATTTGGGATCCACTAGAATAGTTGTCAGATTTTAAGATGGAATTTACTAGTTTATTTACTAGTTTTCTTGAGAGTGCTATTACATTTCAAGCCTCCATTTCCTTTTCTGCTAAAAAAAAATTTGTAACTCAAAAATTTGAATAAAATGAAAGTTTGTTTGTGAAAGCATACTATGAATTATACAGGTTAATGCACCAGTTATTATTTTTCTCTAGATAGTGTCTATAAAAGATGGATGCCAATTTATTAAATTTAAAAGAAACTAGTGCTAAGGCATAGGGTCCTACATTTGGCCTGGCTTTGCTACTGTAGGGGATAATGGGACAGGCCTTGACTTAAATTAATTTTTCACATATGGATCTCAATCTCTTTGTCAGTAACATGGATTCTGAATACCCATGGAAAATAGTTCACAAATGGTTTATACAGGTTCTGTAAACCTCCTGAAATTAAGTAAAAATTATTAATTTTCTGGAGACATCAGTATATATTTCTTGAGATGATAAGAACCACATATTTATAAATGAAGAGATTTTTCTTATTATAAGAAAAGGTATTACAGAATAATGTTTCAAACCTATATTTATTGAACATACACCCCCACTACCCTTCCCAGCCACTGGTTACCATCCTTCTACTCTCTATCTCCATGAATTAAATTATGTTGATTTTTAGATCCCACAAATAAGTGAGAACATGTGATGTTTTTCTTTCTGTGCCTGGCTTGTTTCACTTAACATAATGATCTCCAGTTCCATCCATGTTGTTGCAAACGGCAGGATCTCTTTCTTTTTTATGGCTGAATAGCACGCCATTGTGTATATGTACCAAATTTTCTTTATCCATTCATATGTTGATGGATAATTAGGTTGCTTCCAAATATTGGCTAAAAAAACAGTGCTATAACAAATAAGGGAGTGCATGCTTTTGCAGGGGTGGTACATACCCATCAATGGGATTGCTGGATCACATGATAGCTCTATTTTCAGATTTTTGAGGAACCTCTGAACTATTCTCCATAGTGGTTGTGCTAATTTACATTCCTAGCAACAGTGTACAACAGTTCCCTTTTCTCCACATTCTTGCCAGTATTTGTTATTGCCTGTGTTTTGGATAAAAGCCATTTTGTTTTTTGGTAATAATAGTATAATTTATTTTGTTAATGTTAAAAATAAAATTGATGATTTAAAAATTTTAAATCAATCTTGCATGCAAGAAATACACTAATTTATTATTATTATTATTATTATACTTTAAGTTTTAGGGTACTAACTAGGGTGAGTTGATATCTCACTGTAATTTTGATTTGCACTTTTCTGATGATCAATAATGTCAAGCACCTTTTCATACGCCTGTTTGCCATTTGTATATCTTCTTTTGAGAAATGTCTATTTAAATATTTTCCCATTTTGAAATAGAATTATTAGATTTTTTTCCTATAGAGTTGTTTGAGCTCTTCACTAAAAATTTAAGTTATTATTAATCCCTTGTCAGATGGATAGCTAGCAAGTAGTTTCTCCCATTCTGTGTGTTGTCTCTTTACTTTGTTGTTTCTTTCCTTTGCTCTGCAGATGCTTTTTAACTTGATGTGATCCCATTGGTCTATTTTTGCTTTGATTGCCTTTGCTTGTGGGGTATTACTCAATAAGTTTTTCTAGCACCATTTATTGAAGAGACTATCTTTTTCTCAGTGTATGTTCTTGGAACCATTGACAAAAATGAGTTCACTGCATGTGTGTGGATTTGTTTCTGGGTTCTCCATTCTGCTCTACTTGTCTAATGTGCCAGTACCATGTGGTTTTGGTTACTATAGCTCTGTAGTACAATTTGAAGCCAGGTAATGTGATTCTTCCACTTTTGTTATTTTTGCTTAAGATGATATTGGTTATTATTTATTTTCTGATTGTTTTGTGGTCTCCCTTCCTTCTTTCCTTCCTTCCTGTCCTCCATTTAGTGAAGGAGATTTTCTCTCATAATGTGGTTTCTTGCTTTTTATTTTTTGTATGTTTATTGTACATTTTTTGGTTTGAGGTTACCATGAGGTTTGCAAACACTATCTTATATCTTGTTATTTTAAGCTGATAACAACTTAACACTGTCTGCATAAACGAACAAATAAGCAAATAGAAACCTAATAAAAACTCTACACCTTAAGTTCCCCTGCTTTATAAGTTTTATTGTTTCTATTTGTATTTTATTGTACTGTCTGTGTCTTGAAAAGTTGTTATAGTTATTACTGTTGATTGGTTCATCATTTAGTCTTGCTACTCGAGATATGTTTACACAAAGTTCTTAAAATGGCCTATTTTTTATAAAGAGTACTTTACACACCACAGTTACAATGCTATAATAATCTCTCTGTGTGTGTGTGTGTGTGTGTGTGTGTGTGTGTGTGTGTGTGTGTGTGTTGGTGTACTTACTATTACCAGTGAGTTTTATACCTTCAGATGATTTCTTATTGCTCATTAACATACTTTTTTTTCCAATTGAATAACACTATAGCATTTTTGGTGAGACAGGTCTGGTGTTTATGAAATCTCTCAGACTTTTTTTGTTTGTTTGTTTTTTGTCTAGAAAACTCTTTATTTCTCCTTCATGTCTGAAGGATATTTACGTACTTATGCCAGGTAGACTATCCCATGGTAAAAGGTTTTTTTTGTTGTTTGTATGTTTGTTTGTTTTTTTAAGCACTTTAAATAAACCGTGTCACTCTCTCCTGACCTGTAAGATTTCGACTAAAGACTCTGCTGCCAGATGTGTTAGAACTCCATTATATGTTATTTGATTTTTTTCTGTTGCTGCTTTTTAGGATCCTTTCTTTATCCTTGACCTTTGGAAATTTGAATATCAAATGCCTTGAGGTAATCTCCTTTGGTTTAAATCTGCTTGGTGTTCTATAACTATCTACTTGGCAATTGATATATTTCTTTGGATTTGGGAGGTTCTCTGTTACTATCCCTTTGAATAACTTTTTTTTTTTTTTTTTTTTTTTTTTTTGAGGCAGAGTCTCACTCTGTCGCCCAGGCTGGCTTGCAGTGGTGCCATCTTGGCTCACTGTGACCTCCGTGTGCCCGGGTTTAAGCAATTCTCATGCCTCAGCCTCCCAAGTAGCTGGGACTACGAGTGTGAGCCACCACGCCCGGCTAATTTTTGTATTTTTAGTAGAGACAGGGTTTTGCTATGTTGGCCAGGCTAGTCTCCAACTCCTGACCTCAAGCGATTCACCTGCTTCAGCCTCCCAAAGTGCTGCCTGGTCTTAAACTTTCTACCCCATCTCTTTCTCTCTCTACTCTTTAAGGTCAATAAATCTTAGATTTGTCATTTTGAGGCACTTTCTAGCTCCTATAGGGGTGCTTTATTCTTTTTTCTTTTGTCTCTTCTGTGTATTTTCAAATAGCCTGTCTTCAAGCTCACTGATTCTTTCTTCTGCTTGATGAATTCTGCTGTGAAGAGACTGATGCATTCTTTAGTATGTCAATTGCATTTTTCAGCTTCAGAATTCTGCTCGATTCTTTTTAATTATTTGAATCACTTTGTTAAATTGATCTGATAGAATTCTAAATTCCTTCTCTGTGTTATCTTGAATTTCTTTGAGTTTCCTCAAAACAGTTATTTTGAAATTTCTATCTGAAAGGCCACATATCTCTGTTTTTCCAGGATTTCTCCTTGTTGTCTTTCTTAGTTCATTTTATTGAGGTCATGCTTTCCTGAATGGTCCTGATACTTGTAGATGTTTGTCTTTGTCTTGGCATTGAAGAGTTAGGTGTTTATTGTAGTCTTCATAGTCTGGGCTTATTTGTACCCTTACTTCTTGGGAATGCTTTCCAGATGTTTAAAAGGACTGGTGTGTTGTGATCTAAGCTGCATCTGCATCTGCCTGAGGGGGCACATAAGCCCAGTAATGCTGTTTTTGTTTTTTTTTTTCCAGACTAGTAGAGATACTAACTTGATGGTCTTGGACACAATTTGGAAGAATTTTCTGGATTACCAAGAAGAAAAGCTCGTTCTCTTTCCTTATTTTCTCCCAAACAGTCTCTCCTTCTCTCTGTTCTGAGCCACCTGAAGCTGGGGGGTAGAGTGACACAAGCACCACTACCACCAGGATTTTGCTGAGTTAGATCTAAAGCCAGTCCAGCACTGGGTCTCACACAAGGCCTGCAGTAACCACTCCTTGGCTACCACGTATTTTTTTTTTCGAGAAACCTCCATAGTGTTCTCCATAGTGGCTTTATTTATTTCCTTTCCAACTGACATCGTATAAGAGTTCATCTCTCTATGTATTTTTGCCAGCATTCACGATTGCCTGTCTTTTGCATAAAAGCCATTTAAACTGCAGTGACATGACATTTCATGGTAGTTTTTATTTGCATTTCTATGATGATCAACAATGTTGAGTATTTTTTATATACCTGTTAGCCATTTGTATGTCTTCTTTTGAGAAATGTCAATTCAGATCTTTTGCCCATTTTTCAAACATATTATTTTTTCCTTTTGAGATGTTTGTGCTCTTTATATTGAGTTGTTTGAGCTCATTTTAACTATTCATCCCCTGTCAGATGGATAGTTTCCAAATGTTTTTTTCCTCATTGCATGGGTATTCTCTTAACTTTATTGGTTGTTTTCTTTGCTGTGCCAAATCTTTTTAGCTTGGTATGATTCCTTTTTCCATTTTTGGTTTGGCTTCAAGTGCTTTTGAGGTCTTAATCAAGAAATCTTGGCCAAGATCAATGTCTTGTAGTGTTTCCCAATATTTTCTTCTAATATAATTTCATAGTTTTAGGTCTTAGATTTAAGTCTTTAATACATTTTGACTTGAGTTTTGCATATGGTGAGAGATAAGGGTCTAGTTTCATTCTTCTGCATGTGGATATCCAATTTTCCCAGCAGCATTTATTGAAGAGATTGTCCTTTCCTCAGAATATGCTGTAGACTTTGTTGAATATGAGTTGACAGTAAATGAGTAAATTTATTTCTGGGTTCTCTATTGTGTTCCATTGTTCTATGTGTCTAACATTATGCCAGTACCATGCTATTTTGGTTACTAGAGCATTGTAGTACAATTTGAAGTCAGGCAATGTGATGCCTCCAGCTTTGTTCTTTTTGGTCTGGATGGCTTCAGATATTGTGTGTCTTTGGTAGTTCTATATAAATTTTAGGGTTAGTTTTAAACTGAATGTCTTCCTGACTTGGTTTCCTGCTGATATACTATGCAGCCATAAAAAAAGGATAAGTTCATGTCCTTTGCAGGGACTTGGATGAAGCTGGAAACCATCATTCTCAGCAAACTATCACAAGAACAGAAAACCAAACACCACGTATTCTCACTTGTAAGTGGGAGTTGAACAATGAGAATACATGGGCATAGGGAAGGGAATATCACACACTGGGGCCTGTCAGGGGGTGAGGGGCTAGGGGAGAAATAACATTAGGAGAAATATTCAATGTAGGTGACGGGTTGATGGGTGTAGCAAAGCACCATGGCACGTGTATACCTATGTAACAAAACTTCTCATTCTGCACATGTACCCCAGAACCTAAAGTATAATTTTTAAAAAAATTCTATACAACAAAGAGAACATTTAAAAGTTCATCCAATTTTCTTCACAGTGTAAAGCACATAATGTCCTTTGATGTGTGGAAGTCAGAGAATACAACATCTATGAGATTTTTTCTAAATAATAAAACAATAAAACAAACTTTTAATTCAACAAGGATGAGAATTCTTAAAAAATCTGAGAAGTAGGAAAACATGATAAAATTCTATCTTTTTATATAATTTTTTTTCATGATAAAAGTTCTAGTTTAGATTTCTAATTTTCGAGATGGAGTCTTGCTCTGTTGCTCAGGCTGGAGTGCAGATGTAAGATCTCAGCTCACTGCAATCTCCACCTCCCTGGTTGAAGCGATTTGCCCAGTAGCTGGGATTACAGGCACTGACCACCCCACCTGGCTAGTTTTTGTGTTTTTAGTAGAGACAGGGTTTCGCCATGTTAGCCAGGCTGTCTCGTACTCTTGACCTTAGGTGATCTGCCTTCCTCGGCCTCTCCAAGTGCTGGGATTACAGGCGTGAGCCACCATTCCCAGCCTAGAAATTTTTATAATCTAAATATTTTACTAAGACCAAGCACACTGATGAGAATCAAGTCATCAAAAGATAATAAGTTTAACAGTTGTAAATTTTAAAATGATGACATAATTATAGAAAATGGGAAAATCGGAAGAAGACAGTAGAAAGGCTAAGCATGCCAACTATATTATTTATTTTAATGGAGGGAGAATCAATTTCATCTATGTGAAATTCACATGTACATTAAAAAGATTATTACTTTAAAATGTTCATGGTTTATGTAATATTTTGTTTATTTGTTAATTTTGAGATGGGGTCTCACGCTGTCACCCCAGCTGGAGTGCTGTGGCACTATCTTGACTCACTGCAGACTCGACCTCCCAGCTCCAGCGATCTTCCTACACTGGCTTCTCTATCACCTAGCATCAGCGTCCTGCCAATATCTCTAGCTGTACTCACAAAATTAATATAACGGTAATTCTGGGAAAAGTGATTATGAATATTAAATTTTAATTTGCCACTATTTCAAAGACTTTTATCAACTTGCATTTTTTTTCAATACTGTTTGCCCCAGCATTTTTTGTCCTCAAATGTGGCCCCTGAAAATCTGTAGTAGGCAGTACACCAGTGGGGACTCTGTGTGGGGGCTCCCACCCCCCCCGCATTTCCCTTCCACACTGCCCTAGCAGAGGTTCTCCAATAGGGCTCTGCCCCTGCAGCACACCTTTACCTGAACATCCAGGCATTTCTATACATCCTCTGAAATCTAGGTGTTAGCTAATTGGTTTTATCTAAATCACTCGTATCCTTATGACAGGAGGTAGTTTTGCAAGTTAGAGTCAGTACCTCACCAATGTTAGGCTCCAACCTTCCCACGGAGTCTTGGAGATAGGGACCCTGTCTTTTTTGATTACACTTTTATTACATTTCAAATAGTTCTCTCAGTCCTTGAGAAAGTTAATCCTGGGACATAAAGGTGACAAAAGGCCTTATAGTTTTCGAATGAATACATATATCCTTTTGAAATATATCCTTTCATGATCGTATATATGAATTATTCATATATACAAAGTATACATATATTTCCCAAGTTGTGGTGGAGATGTATTTTAAAAAATGCATCATTAGATGATTTTGTCATTATGCAAACATCACAGAATGTACTTACACAAATCTAGATGTTATCACCTATTGCATACCTAGGCTTATGGTATAGTCTATTTCTTTTAGGCTACAAAACTTTACAGCCATGTTACTGTACTCAATACCTTGAGCAATTGTAACAAATACTAATTATTTGTGTATCTAATATATCTAAACATAGAGAAGATACAATGAAAACATGGCACAAAACATTAAAGTGGTATGTATAGTACATACCATAAGTGGAATTGCTCTGGGTATGTGAATAAGTGGTTAGTGAATGGGAAGACCTGGAATATTACTGTACACTCTAGTAGACTTTATAAACACTGCACAATTAAGACTACACTAAATTTATTACAAATATTTTACTGAACACTACTATAGGCTTTATAAACACTGTATATTTAGGCAACACTACATATACTGAAAATATTTTTCTCTCATCAGTAATATATTAACCTTAGCTTACTTTTTATAAACTTTTGAACCTTTGAGTTTTGACTCTTGTAATAACACTGTAGCTTGAAACACAAACACATTGTGCAACTGTACAAAAATTTTTATTCGGTAAACTTTTTCTTGTTTTTAATTTTTAAAAATTTTTCTTTAACTTTTTAAGCTTTTTTGTGTTAATAACTAAGGCAAAGACAAGCACATCAGCTTAGGCCTACACAAGGTCAAGATTATCAATATCACTGTCTTCCACCTCCACATCTTGTCCCACCAGAAGCTCTTCAGGGGCAATAACACACATGGACCTGTCATCTCTTATGATAACAATGTCTTCTTCTGGAATCCCTCCTGAAAGACCTGCCTGAGGCTGTTTCACAGTCATTTTTTTATAAGTATAAGCAGTACAATTTAAAGTAATGAGAAGATATATAGTAAATACATAAACCAGTAACAGTTTATTATTATTATCAAGCATTATGTACAGTACATAATTGCGTGTGCTATACTTTTATACAACTGAATGCTCAGGTTTATTTACACCAGCATCACCGCAAACATATGAGGAATGCATTGTGTTGCAACTTTACAACAGCTCTAATGTTACTAGGGAATAGTCACTTTTCAGCTTCATAATGTTATGGGATCACTGTCATATTTGCAGCCTGTTGTTGACTGAGTTGTCATTATGCAGTGCATGACTTTATATAGTTCAGAGGAGAAAATACTTTTTCAAAATACAATTTCAAATTTTTCAAGGTAAAAATCTCTAAGAAAAAGAAGAGAAGGGAACAATTCCCCCTTTCTTTCAGCAGGAAGAATTAAGGCTTTTATTCTTAATTTGTATTTTCTTTTTACAAACTATATCATTTGTAGAAATCTTGACATCTTATTGACTCTACTAGAGTTTTCCTTTATATGTTAGAGACAACTCAGATTTAATGTAGAAAGAGTCATGTAGAGATTAAAGGCTATCATGTTAATCAATGCCCAGCAAAATATAAAGCACACACTTTTAAATTTGAGCCTTCTATTACATATCAGGATAATGTAATAAAAGTTAAAGTTATTTTATAGAAAACTTTAACAAAACTTTTAAGGATTTACTATGCAACAGGTGCTGTCCTAGGGAACAAAGATAGAATTGGCAACAACAACAAAAAATTCTCTCTCTTCATGAAGCTCACATTAATGTTACATAGAAAGACAATATATTTATAAACAATTACATATATCACAATCTTATGCAGCAATAAATGATATATGCAAAATAGCAGAGAAATCAGATCCAGTATAAGGGAATACTAACTTAGGTAACAGAGCCAGTGAAATCTTTATTGAAAAGATGGCATTTAAAATAGAGATGCAAATTATGTGAGTAAGCAAGTCATACGAATATGTCATCTGAGGATTAAAGAGGAAGTGCAAGGGACATGAGACAGGATGTATTTGACATGTCATTGCCACACAGTCAGTAAAGAGAAGAGATTAAATTGGAGAATGAATGACAGATGATAATATATACGTTTTATATGGTTTCATAGTTTTAAAATTTTTTTCTAATTATAGTGAGAAATCAGAGGATTTTGAACCTAGCATTTACATTACTAATGACTTGAAAGGATGACACTACTTATCTTAAGAAAATCAGACTAAAAATGGATTAAATTGCAAGCAGAGAAACTAAACTCTGCCACAACAACCTGGCAAGAAATTGAGGAAGGTGAGAATAGTAATTGTGTTGAGAATTGATAGTGTTAAGAAATTATTTTGTGATTCGGGCTAAATACATTTGAGTCAATTTTGATCTGAAAAAAATGGACACAATTTAAAACCACTTATTGAGTTTAGGATGCAGCATGAATCGCAGGTTTGGAGCAAACATCTACAGTTGGACGTTCCCATGCTAATTTTGAATTGAGCATGAGATATATAAGGTTAGAATTATTATAATTTTCTCATGGATAATTTTATATGACTTAGAAATATAATTTTTCTAATCTGAAGAATTATGAAATTTTGTCACCTTTCTTTATCTTCAAAATGGCCAAAAAGACTTCTAAATGGTAAGTAACTTTTCAGGGTCATATATATACTTAGGGACAGACCATATCTCCTAAGACTATATCACTTACCACTACATATAATGCCTACCTACTTTTTTTGAGAAACATCAAGTGTGAGGAGTGGAGATAAACTGAGGACAACATTCAATGCTTATGTACACATTTTTTGTCTTAGAAGCTTTTACTTTTATTTAGGATATGTTTTATAGCACACGAGAACATACTATAATGAACTCCCTAATGTTTATCTCCCAGTTTCAACAATTTCAACTGCCTGTTAGATATCAGATAGTTCAGTAAACACTAACATAATTTAAATATTATAAGAATAGTGCTTTTTACTTATTATTTATTTAAACTATAGTTTCTGAATGAGGAACTGATTTTTCCTAAGTCATAGATTTAACTGGTTGATCCAGACTCTAGCATAGATCTGATGCCAAAAAAAAAAAAAAAATGTTTCCTTGGCAACGTTTTGAAATAATGTGTCTGGCAAATATAAAGAAATATATGTATTGTGTGGTTGTAGATGGAGAGAGGAAGAAAAAGTGAAGGAGGAAGAGAAAGAAGGAAGAGGAAAATCAGGATGACATAACAGGAAGAAGTTTCAAAAATGTTATAAAGATTGTATAGTTGAAATTACTGTTTATTCAAAAATGTGCCTTCTGATTTGTTTGAATATAATGAAACTTTCGAAAAAATGTATTGAAATTGATATCACATTTAGATACGGTTATTAAAATAAATTGTAAAAAATACTTTTAAACAAATTTGGAATTCATTACAATTATTTGTTATTAGATTAATGAATCATAGATACAAGTTTTGTTATTATGTACTGATGATATAAAGTGGTTTGATAAAATACTATCTCTGTGTATGTATAGCAAATCTAAAAAGATAATTTGTATTTTTAATAAATAAGACAAAGGTTCACCTTCTACCTTGAAAAAAAGATGTTTAAAACATGTTAAAGAGAGCACTGAAGGTTTTTGAGCTATTTTGAAAATTTATCTCTGCATATTTTCTTCATTTCTAGTTTCATGTTAACTTTCAAATTACAATTAATATAAAATAAATATATTATGGAAAAAAATTCAAACTTTATGTAGACAGTGACCTACATTTTTAATCATAAAATGGAACTTAAAATTTAAATTTTACACTATTGAAAGAAAAATTAATTATAGATTTCTATTTCTTCTTTATAAGATACTTGAAGAAACAAGTCATGAAAATGTTAATAATTTCTGGAAAATTATATATTATTATGTCAGAGTCTAGATTAAAAACAAAAATTCTACATGAGCCCATAGAATTTAAATTAAACTATTTCCATCTGGAGAATTTCTTTGACTAGTCATAGAAATTGACATTATCACCAGACAGGATGACAGACATTTTGGATGCTGTTATGGGATGAATGTTGGTGTTATAGCTTGAAGTTCTGATACTCAATGTGATTGTATTTGAAGATGGAGCCACTGAGACATAAACATAATTATCCTTGTTTTCTGATAAAATAAATTTAAAAATTAGCAAAGTTAAGTACATTTTTCAATGTCGGGACAAGTGGGTGGCAACGCTTGGATTCAGTATTTTATTTTACTGAATTCCAAAACTTTACTATATAAGGCTACTGTTTAGGGAGTGTTAGGGAAGTAGCCCATGCATCAAGTACTCATCATCTTCAATGAGGGAGAGCCCTCCACACCCTTGTACCTCCACTATACCATGCCTCTTCAGGGACATTTTCTGCCGTCTTTTCTTCTTCCCCCTCACATATAATTGAAAACTTAATTCTTCACCTTTACCTCAATCTAAACTAAACAGTTTAGGATTTCCAACACAGTCATCACATTTTCATTTAGTTTTTGCTAATATAAATTGTCCTTATATCATCTTGAAATATGATATTTCTTTTTCATTTCTATGACCTAAAACCCTTTCAATGAAAGTGGTGGAAGATAGTAAGAGACACAGTTATGTTAATGGATTGTGCTATCTCTTTCTTCCTTCTTTTATCAATTGTCTAGATATGCTTTCTAAATTATATCATATATTTTATCCTTGTCATTATGCCACCTTCAATTTGTAATGAAAATAAAATAAATATATATATATATATATATATATTTGACAATAAATCTGACTTAATTCATTCACTGGTATATATTTTAGTTTCTCATTGTCATTGTTTGTATATTTAAACTCAGGAAATAATTTCTGGTACCCCAAGTAGTCTTGAGATTGAGCCTAAGAACTTCAGAGAACATATGGACATGAGTCATGATCCATACCCTAAGCAGCTAAGAAACTGTCCTAACACAACCCTGGGAGAAGAATGGTTAGTTCTTTCCAGAGGGTAACTAAGAATGACTCCACACTCATAGAAAACAGGAAAGGATACAGGTAAGAGAACAAGTAATAAACATCTACAAACAGAAAATAAGATCAACAGTCCTCTTTGGTAGATTATTTTATTAATGGCATACATTTCCTGCTTCTCTCTGGGAAAGGATTATTCTTCCCTGGCCATCAAGAAAGGCTCGGTCATGTTACTTGATTGGATCTATAAAATGTGAAGGAAAATGAGATATTTAACTTCTGAGCAATGCAATTTAAAGCTTTGCCATGGGAAGTTAGATCCCTTGCTTGGGTTCTAGAATAAAGACGATATGGAAAGGATATGTACTGATCCTTCAAAAATAAGTAACATAAGAGCAAAATAAAAATTTGTATAAATCATGTAGATGTTGGGATCATTTTTACTACAGCATAAACCAGGTGTCTTTGATTGATAAGTCTTCATGCATATTACTCCCAGGATGCTGGGGCATAGCTTATGCTTTCCAGGAAAAAGATTATAACACATTAGTCTGAGGATTTTGATAAGTCATGGACAAAAGACCTAAAGAATCTGCCAGTCAGGAATATTCAAGCAAATCACTAAAATCAGTTGATGAATCTTAGTAGATGACTCTGAAACTTCTAAAAGCAAATTACAGTATTTCCCACAGAAAAACAACAAATTAAAATCTCAAGTAACTTACACATAGACTTTCAACAAATATAAGATTACACAAACACATGCACACACACCTGCAAACAACTCTAATAAGTGTGTTCCGCAGGAATAATAAAAGAACTTCTCAGTAGCTCTCTAAAACCCTACCCTTAAATAGGAACAAGCAAGCAAGAATAACCAGAAGTTACAGGCAGGTGTTTAACATGACATACAGAATCTACAATAAACAGGTGGAAAGAAATTTAATAAGAATTTAGAAGTTATTCTTTGAAAAAATTTAGAGACCCTAATTAATATATTCAAAGGTAAAATAAAATTACTGGCTATGTGATTCAGTAAAAATAATATTATAAAAAGAAGTGTGCAAAGACTAAGATAGAATCTTAAAAATTATGATAAATTCAAAAGCAATGAAATTACTAAAATAGAGTAGAAGAAATAAACATAAATAATAATTAGAAGAGAAAGTTTAAATAAATTACAGAATCAATTGAGAGATCCAACATCTGAATAATAGGAGTTTCAGAAAGAGAAAACAGAGTAAAAGGAAGGAATAAATTATCAAGGAAATAATGGAAGACATTTTTAAAGAATGCAATAATTTCAATGTTCTAATAGAAGGAGCTGATGGATTAATCAGCACAAATACTATAAAAAAGTTTAATTTCTAGCTTTCCTATAGGCTAAAAATATTGAAGGATTCTTGCTGCAAAGCCCTAATAATTAGTGCTAGAGAAAATAAAATATTAAAATGGTTAATGGTGCTTTAAATAAAATAACAGAATTTATTTCTGAAATCAGTAAAAACTGTGATCAAGAATACCAAGAAATGAGAACTCTCAGGTTATCTATGCATTATTAGTTTTAAATGGCCTCACATCATTTGCTTTGACACTGCTAAGTTCAGAAGATACTTGGTACTCTTGAGTTATCTATGCTTTGGTTCATGGATATATAAAGTAAGAAAGTTATTGAACCCACACACAGTAGGCCTAATTATAAATCATACTGCATAGAATTGGAACTCAGAAAAACTGACATGGAAAAAGTGAAGTAAAAAAAAAAAATACATATTTAGCAGTGGTGTTCAGCAGAGAACTTGTCTCAATCTTCATTCTGGCAGGAAGTTGAAAAGTAGTCATCCATAAGAATTCATGACCAATGATGTCCTGACACGTGGTTTGCCGGTTTGAGTATTTGGCATTTGTACTTTAAAAACTGAATGTTAAATATGTTAATTGAACATTGACTGTCAAAACAGAGGCAAGTAGATATTAAAGTGGTGAAGACAAATTTTACTCAGGACTATTGCAATAGAAAAAAGATACTCCAGTATAGAACTGGTCTCTATTCTGAATACAGCAGGAACAAGTGGGGATTTATAGCCAAGGAGAAGGAGGGTCGATGGATGGAAAACTGCTAAAAGAAGACATGAATTCTGGGGGAAATTCTGGCTGGACTAACCTAAAGGTGTCCTGCTGAAAGCAATCCAGGTGATCAGATACCGATGGTGGGGCATGAGAAGTGTTAATCAGAGGATGATTATGTATGAAGGGTGAAAGATTTTTTATTTTATCTAAAACTGGAGTTTACAAGGAAGTACACAGGTGAGACTAAGAGAAGGTTTAGAAGCCTGACTAAATTTTGGTAGAGCAAAGAATCTTTGCCAAGACCTAAGTATCTCATCAACCAAAAAATGGAAATAGTTCCAGAGAAAAGCGTCCTCAATTAAGTCATTATGTATTCCCATAAATAGCTTTCCAACAAACAGGAATCAGAAATAAACACAGACACACAACATGCAAAATGTACAAAAAAAAAGCAAGTATTCAGAGAAGAGAATTAGAAAGAATAGAAACAATGAAACTACACTAGCAAAGATCACAGATATTTGAATTACTGGAAACAGAACATAAATAAGTATATATATATAATAAGTTCAGAGAAATAAAGTGTAAATCAAACAAATGAGAAAGGATTAAGAGACTAGTAGAAATCGGCAGCAGATATGAAAAGAAATTAAAATTTTAGAGTCTCAACCAAACCTTTGAGCAGAAAGTCCCCATCCTTGATTAAATCGTTGCCTTCAGGCTCTGGCAAAGTGAAACAAATCTGAACACTAGTTAAAAGCCATAGGCAGATTATATTTATCACTACTGCAGTGGGGGAGGGGCTTCAGGGAACCCAAACTCAGCTCTGTCAAAGAAAAAGATGTGAGGCCATTTAAACAACAGGCTGTACTAAAGGAGAAGTATTGGTGGACATTAAGGGATGATTAGGCCATGTTTGCTACCCAGTGCTTGTTGAAGTTAAACCTCTGCCCTCTCACAGAAACTGGGAGTTACTGTTCTTATCCTTCCTTCAGATTACATTTCAAACAAATAGCTTCCAAGTTTTTGAAAAAGGCATTCCTTCATTGTAGAAAATATGTAACTTTCTCTAAGGGACAGAGAAAGATTTAAAATGGAAAGTTTCTTAAAAGCAAATACTTCCAGAAAAGGGAAGCCGAAGCCTATTATCATGTTTGGACTGGAACAAACTGAGTTCTTTTGGAAGTACTGAGCTTCTCAGGCAGAAACTTAAGGGGTGGAGCAGGGCTGGGTCATCTCAAGGACAGGGCTTTAGGCTGCTAGAAGCCACACTAGAGTTTGATTAAGTCTCTTAGAGCAGAGGGTTGAATGGAGTCCTTTGTGCCAGGAGGTTTTTCAGTTCTCAGTTGGCTTTCATTTTCTGAGCTTTTATTTCCCAGGTCAAGATAAAGGTTGAGAAAAAAAAAAAAAAAAGTTTCTAGTTCTACCCTGAATGAATATATCATGTCTTATAGCTACAAGACAAGTTTTCTGAATAAAATCAGTTTTTAATTTTATGGGTGGCTGGAATAAAATGAAGATTGAATTCAACAACACTTCCAGGTCTCTTATGTCAAATTTAGGGCATTGTTCAGTAAAGAAAGGAAGCCAAAGAAAAGAAAAAGAGGTGTTTGGATGTATTCCAATAAATCCAAGTATGTTGATCCCTTGATCCCTTTTATATTCCTTTTTCAGTGGAACAGCACTCCCTCCACGTTCTGAAGACTGTAATAGGCTTCATTGCTGGAACAGCTTATGATGTTTCTGTAGCCATACTCTTTTTTCTTATCAACCTGTAGTTCACGCCCACTTTTAGTTTTCTCCACATGACTTGGTTTGGGAAACAGAATATTGCAGACTTGCAATGCAGTCAGAAAGATGAAAAAGTTCTTTCTCATTTCCATTTTTTCCTTTGTTCCTTTGGATTTACCATTAAAACATGTTCATACTCATTATCTTAAGGAAGAGGAACCATGTGAAGCAGAACTATGTTGTCTCAGTCAAGGCCATCCTAAGTAGTCATCCTCATCCTACACACCAGCTGACTGAGAATCAGAGACAAGTCCAAATCAGGCTAGAATAGTGTACAAAACTGCTGTTGCTGGTCCTACTGAAAAAGAAGCTGGGATATGTGTAAAAAGCATACTGATGTAATATTTGAGATGTAACCTTGCCAGCGTATTAATAAATATATCTTTCTCCTAAATTAAGAGGCTTAGCTTAAGTGATATGTAGGGTAAGTGCTATGCCCAAGATGTTACATTTAGTTTGCTTCGTATACATTTTAGTGCTAAAAATAGAAAGCAAAAAACAAAAACAAAAAAGAGAAATCTCCCATATTTCTCTTTTTCCCATCTTTCTTTGTCTCCTCTCTTTTTTTTCTCCCTTCTTTCCTTTCTTCCTTCTTCCGTTTCTTCCCTTTTTCCATCCCTTCCCTTTTCTTGTTTCTTTCTTTCAGTTCATCCAAATTGGCCTTCATGATATAAAAAATTCCTTCACGTTAGACTATAAAATTATGATAAGTATACACTGTATTTTATAATGTATTTTACACACATTCTTCCATGATATTATGCTTGTACTTAAAAAATAGAGTGTATCCTTAAATTAAATTGTACAAAGACAAAAAAACATATAAAATAGTTCAGATAAATTATTAATGCATTTCAAAATGACCAAACACTTGTGAGAGAAAATAATCAATATTGCAAGAAAATACATTTTTGGCAGAATCCTCATTCAACTTAATTGTTACTGAGTATAGAGAACCATCATCTAAAAAAGAAAAAAAATGTTGAAAACCTACACCTTACTATTCAAAACAACAACATATTTGAAAAAGAAAACAAGAAAGTAGGAAATAATCTATTTAAGTATTTTTAATTTGGTTTAAATTTTGTGGGAACTGAGCCTATTTGGTGTACTGAGAAAGAAGAGTTTGTCTTTATTCATTTACTGTGATAAAATATTTATATTATTTATCTTTTACTCCCCTACCTAACATTGTATTTAATGAGTTTAAGGTAGAAATAAGAATGAGTATTTTGCCAGTAAACTCTCATATCATTTAAAAAAAACTAAATTATTTAAATCTTATATGATGCTAGTTCCTTTATTTAGTTCTACAGAGATTATTTTACAGACACATATTTTATATATAATATATATATTTATATTATATGAATATAACGTACTGCTACTTGGAAAGAAGGTGCTGCTAGACATTCTATTTAACTATAAATTAAGTGAAAGCAGTCTTGTAATAAATTAATTCTATTCTAAAATATATTTTATAAATATTGCTGTTAATATAAAAATTCTTTTGAAGTAATGGATAACTCCCTTTGCAATTACTCCCAGTACCACACATGTGCTAGCACAATGGCAAAACAGAAAGTTGATGAGTCTCAAATAATTGATTGCTTATTTTCTGTTTATACCTTCCTTTATAATTAAATAAAGACATGCCATATGGAAACAAATAAAACGTTAACTCTTAGATTGCTTTTGAGGTTACAGAGCCTAAAGATACATATTCCATGAAATTTTGTTCCAAAATGAAGTAATTTGCTAACTGTATCCTCACTAGCCAAAGGATATATAAAATTTCCTAAAGCATTTTTACATTTGTGGGTTAAAAGGACATATTTAATAACTGCAAAACACCAGAAACTGTGCTAAGTCCTGAAAATGTAAAAATGAAATGCACAAAACATTCCGTTTTCAGGAAGTCACAACCCAAGGAGAAAGACAGACTTGCATTCATAGTCATAACAGACAAGGATACACATTCTATTTGAAAAACTCAGCATACTCTACCAGAACTCTTCTCACCAAGACAGCCCTTACTAAAGCAATCAGGAACTTGAATTTCAGGGAGACAGAAGGCAAGGTAACATACAATCTTGCTTATTCCCAAAGAAGTGAGCTGAACTGAAGCTTCGACTTAATATAGAAGTTGAAAAGAGAAATGACTTAGAACGTTGTCATAGGGTCATTACTTCACATTATCTTTATGTGAATATTTTCACTTATCCATAGAGGGTATAATGAACTATAAAGAGACTAGAAGTAGAATTCTCTTTTAAATATCTTTAGTCTATATTCTGTGTAAGCTAAGTAGAGATGAAATACAAATAAGAAGACAATTTTTGGCCAGGCATGATGGCTCATGCCTGTAATCCCAGCACTTTGGGAGGCCGAGGTGGATGGATCACCTGAGGTCAGGAGTTCAAGACCAGCCTGGCCAACATGGTGAAACCCCAACTCTACTAAAAATATAAAAATTAGCCAGGTGTGGTGGTGGACTCCTGTAATACCAGCTACTAGGGAGGTTGAGGCAGAATTGCTTGAACCTGGGGACGCAGAGGTTGAGATGAGCCAAGATTCTGGGCCACTGCACTTCAGCCTGGGTAACAAGAACAGAACTCTGTCTTGAAAAAAAAAAAAAAAACATTTTTTTTGAAATTTATTTAGAAATAATTTCATTTGGTGGTTTAGTGATGTTGTGCACAACTACTTCATAGAATCACTCAGCTGGAAGAAGAAGAACAGTCATCAAATTTAGCCACTTCTAATGTTACAGATTAAGAAACACAGATATTATTATTGAGAAATGAATAATTTGCCCAAGGTCAAGTAATGATTCCTCTTTGTTCTTAGTTTATTTTGTCCATTATAGGACTCTAATTGATTCTTAGAGGTAGAAGAAAAATAATCTTATTGCATCTTAAGACAAAAAAGGAAGCAAATATTTTTTACAAGTATTATTTGGTCTATAAGTTTTATTTCCTTCACCATTATGCTTCAGAGTATCTGACACAGAAGCTTTGAAAGCAGTGAGATCTGAACACAAAAATAGAATGTCTGTGGTTTTATTCATATTTAGGAGCAGCAGTTTGAAGAAAGTGAAGCTGCAGCTGTACTTTTCCATGTTACTTAGCAACTGGTATGAGACAAGAAAATCACTGAAAATCGTAGCCACTGGTGGGAGCATGACAAATGATATTTGAAAGAAAAAATTGCGAGGTCGATCTACCTGTCGACTATCAACATGCTATTAAGAAATAAAATGAGAATCATTACTATGTTAATGATGTAAATTCAATTTTGAAGACTAGTAATGACTCTCAGGCACAGGGAGCCTCCTACGGCAATGGGTACGATGCCTGTCAGGGTACATTCTCCAGTGAGATTTGCTGAACTGAATTATTAGGCAAATATTTCTTGCCTCAGTCATTAATTTAGTTTATATATGATGAAGATAAGTTTTCACCTTAGCATTGACATATTTTGGTGAAATTTACAATGGCATGTTTATGATTTAAAAACATTTAAAAGCCATCTAAAATCACAGTATTCAAATATGTACCACTAAAACATGGAAGACGTTTAGATAAGAAGAAATAAAGGCTAAAAATGAGATCCATTATATAAACCAAATCAGTTAAAGAAGGTGTAAGAGAATAATGTATGAGTTACTTGATATTTAGAAAACTATTTTGCTTTCAAAAGTAAGAAATGTGTTCTAAAAATCACAGAAGAAATTATTTCTAAATAGACCACTATATCTAAAACTTGAGAGCAAAATTGATTAAATGAAAAAAAATTCATACTAAGAAATATTTATCTAAAACTTTAGAAAGCATTTCAGCAAAGTGCGTAGGCATCTAATGTACATATTGAAATTTCTTGATATTTTCACATATACGAGCTTAGCTGAAAAAACATTCATTATAAAACTTTGAAGCTTTATTATTAACAGTGATTGGTTCTACAAATATTTTTAATCAATATAACTTGTCACTAACTTGAACTAAGCTTTTTTTTCTCCTAATGCAAATTAGATAGGGCTATCTAAAATCATTCTCTAAGCTTTCTTCACCCCTCTCTTATCATTGCCTTCACCTTACCATAAACCCCCATCATTTCTGGTCTGAACTATAAAATTAGCCTTGTGGTGGTATTACTACTGTTTCCCTAAACACCTCTTTACAAACCTTCAGAAGGAGTCAGAGTGGTGTATATAAAACACATTATAGAGATATTTTAGATCAATCACTTACTTTCAATTGCTTCAAATATCCTGTACAACACCAACTCCATTTCATAAACCACTTACTAACATCAGTTATTCTGTCCTTTTCTATTTCTGTTCCAGAATCCTGAAGGTGTTTGATGTAGATTTTAAAATTTCTTTTATTATCACTTTTAATTCATTCCAACATGTGCAGGTTTTCCCTAACGCACAAATAGGATCTCTTCATCTCAGGGTCTTTTTAACTTAGGAGACTTTTTATAGAGACAACTTGCTGTTCTCTCAGCCTGGACTATTTCTTCCCTTATCCCAAAAGATCTCAACTTAAATATTATGTCTTTAAATTATTTTTTCCTCAAAAGATGCTGTAAGGAGAAAATCTTGCAATCATATTTAAAAAAAAAAGTATTTCCTCAAACTCGGAGGGAGCTGAGAGATCAAAGAATGACTTGGCCAAGTTCAGCTTGGAGAGGAGATGAGTTTATTAAGACTTACGAAGTACTCTTGGGTGGCAGCAGGACGGCTCTAGAGATCTGGGCTGCTTCTCATTCCTAAGCTGCTTTTAAGCTAATTTTCTGGTTTTTTGGCTACCATGCATGTGTGATGAGACCATTTTCCTTGTTAGTTCTAATAGGGTACAATAGGACGGTTTTCCTTGTTAGTTCTAATAGAGTACAATGGGACTGTTTTCCTTGGTAAGTTCCTTTGGGTTCTCAGGGATACCTGCTCCTTGGCTGGGCATCATGGCCTTGGCTTACTGCCTGGCCTTCAGGGTTTGGGAAGCTGAATAAGTAACCTGGCAGGGACCCATCACACTATAGATGCTAAGTAAGCTCTTCTTCTAACCAATCTCTCTGTAATATATCACCCTGTAATCAATTTTTGTGAATATACTAATATACTAAATTTAATATTTACTTAAATGTTTTACTTGTTTATGCTCCTGTCATCTTGTGAGGTTCTTGAGAACATACCCTTTGTATGAATTGTTCATTGGTGTATCCTCAGCACCTAGGACATATGACTAGCATATTTTGTACCCCATAAATATTAGTTGATTTCATAACTACATGGATGATAATCAATATGGACTCATTAGTGGAGTAGAAATAATCAAATACAAGACATAATATGAAATGAAAGGAGGAGGTAAAACAAAAAACATACTAATGTTTAAAATTCTGTTTTTCAAAGTGCTGTGTAAGCGATAGTGTTGCAGTCTCTTGCGAAGGAAACTTTTAGAGGTCTTGCATACTAACCTATGCTGTTCTCTCCTCCATGGTAAATGCTGCATCCTAGTGCTGAGACAATTGCATCATACCATGTTGGAGACTCAACTAATCCAGTCAGCCGAGATTCACTAAATGTTGTAGGAGGAGAAAGAAATGATCCTTTGTTCTGTTAAGAAACTGAGACTTAGGCTCTTCATCTCATAGGAAATCTTCAGGTTTCAAAGAGTCAATGCGTTCACATAAATTACATGCAAAATATTGAGTGTATGTGTATTTTTTTAGAAGAGTGTTCACAGTTTAATCAGAATATAAAGGATATCCTTGATCTCTTTTCTCTCATCACAGCTTCTCAGAATCTACAAATTAAACAAACTGAAAAACAAAATGAAAACAAAATTTGGTTTGCATACAGGTATTTCACATCAAATTGGAGTGAATGACATTAATTTAAAATCTAAGTTGCATTACTAATCTTCTCACTCATTGTACAGTGTTTTGTTTGGTATATTTTGTCTCTTTCTGAAAAATGGACATTCATGTTTTATTCACTTGTATCTAACATTATCAGGTAATGAGGTTTTAAAACTAATTCATCTAATCACAGAGGATTTAATAATATAACTCTAATGTAAAACCACAAAGGACAGAAAACCTCATACCTAATATATTAATGTGTTCATTTATTTAGAATATCAGAGGTAATAGGGGATTGTGACTGAGAACACAGCCTCCCAAACAAAGATACTGGATTTGAATCCTGATAACAGACAAATAATAGTAATAGTGCCTGCTTACTGTCATTGTGAGAAGATTTAGTGACTAGGAAGCAGAGGGTGTGGTATATAGTAGGTATAAGAATTTTCATTTTTGCATGGTTCTGATGTGCAGTAATTTCATTGACCATGGTTTAAATAGCATCAGTTCCCCAAAACACAATTACAACTGCAGTTATGACATTATATTAACTGTGGTACTTGCTCAAAGTAGAATCTTCTCTGCTAGCTCCTCAGGACACTAAAAAACTACATAAATAATAGATGTGCATGAAGATCAGTGGCCATTCCCACCACTACTTCCAAATTCTGTCCTTGACTGGTCACTGTGCACCTGTTATTCAGTTCCCACACAGACAGCAAAGCATATAGTTGGGTCTCCTCCTTGTCTCCCAGAGATAAACCCCTGTGACACTTTATAAAAATAGATAAGTGAAAGAGGGAATTGAACAAGAAGGATGAAGGTACAGCAAATAAATGAAAAGAAATAACTCTGAAAATGAAATTAGAATCATAAAGTAAATGGAATTAAAGGAGATAGTTATTAATATGCATGAATAAAATGGTTGTGACAAAAAGAGTGAAGATGTCCTGAAGGAAGTAACATGGGCAAAAGTACTTCATATTAAAGGAACTCTCAGAGGCATTTTACAACATTGAAAGCACAAAGGATAAAATGTTCGGAGCTGATTCAGTGTCAGAACGGAGAATGACAATTTGCCAAGGCATAGAAGCACACTGTTGAAAATTAAACAACATGAGGTAAAAGGAAGCAATGTCCTAGCTACTGATAATATTTTACAAAGAAATGAAATAATTCTCATTTTTAATTTTTTAATTACAATTTACTAAGTAAATGCTAATTTTACTAATTTTATTTTTCTTTACATTCATGCTATGAAGAGAGTTATTAACATATTGGCAAAAAAAATTAAAAGCCATACAACAATTGTAATTTTCCCCATCGATTATGATTGCTTTGCACAGCTTCTGCTTACATGGCCATTTTTATAGGGCAGTGTTATCACACAAAATGCCTATATTAAATAAAAGTTAGCTACCATGTATTGATGCAATTTTACTTATCATATCATTAGTATCTGCCTTGCCCACTTTTGCTCCTCTTTCTTTTAATTTGATTTCATCTTGTTTGCATGGATTTGAATAAGTTCTTTGTTAATTAAGGTATCTAATCCTTTTCTGCTGAAGTAGTTAAAAGATATTCCTCTTTCAGGTCTTCATTTCTGAGCTTAAGAACGATAGTTTTTCATTTAGACATTTTAATTTTTTAATCACTGCAGTTATTTAGCCTTTTGGGCATCTGTATTAGATTCACAGATTGATTAAACTTTCATTCGTCAGTTTTTTTAACTCTATAAACTAAAGATAACATTACTACTTATCTCACACAGTTATTGTGTGAATTAGACGTGTATATATGTGCCAAGCCTTATAATACAGGCTGTCCCAGTTGAGGAATTATGTATATGACAGTTGATTTTGTCATTAGTAAAACTTATTAACTTCTTATCCAAGTAAAACTATAAGAAGTTGATGGATCTTTGGATCATATTTTTGTAAAAAAAAAAAAAAGCTATAAGAAGTTGAGTTAGAACAATAAAAAGACATATTTGCCATCCCTAGAAAGCTCACAGTCTTGTGGGAGGCAGAGAGAAAAGGTGCTTTAACAGAGATAAAGGCTAAAATAAACATTAAGGGACTAAGACAGCACCCCATCGACCTAAGCCAATACATACTGGTGACACCAGGGAAAGGATCTCAGAGAAGGTGACAATTCATACTCAAATTAATGCAAAGAAAGACATTTAAAACAGTGACAATAGGATATGCAAAGAGAAAATATGCAAAAAAAAAAGAATGACAAAATTAGGGAAGTACATGTGGTTCAGGACGACTGAAAAAGAGGAAACTATCTGAGTGTTTGAAGTTAATGTTCCAAATACATCTGTAAAGGAAAGAAAGGAACATATCATAAAGTGGCAAGTGATTCACGATGGGAACACATAAAATATATTGAATAGAGGATTTGCATAAATACATCTGCAATTTAGAAAAATCAACCTGGAAGTGGAAAAGAGACATGATTAAGGAGAAACAAAGCTTATGGCAAAACTGGAACGTAAGGGGCAGTTAGAGGAATGATCCACAGAGAGATCATGGGAACCCAAATGGTGGCAGTGGGGCTGGCTCTAAGGAATAGACAAGAACTAGGAGATATTAACAAAATAGAACCTACATCCATGGTACCAAGAGATGTCTTCGGCCAAAGAGAAGGCTGATTTTAAAGGTGAATTCCTAACAGGAAAAAAAAAAAATTGTGGAATTTAGTAGCATCTTCTTTTACTGTAATATATGACCCTTGCTTTTTAAATTTAATATGACATTAATATTTAAAGTGGGTTTAGTAAGATTTATTTTATTTCAACTATGAATCTACATTTTTAGAAAGTTAAATATATTTTATAAAGACAATTTGTAAGAATTTTTTTAGATTATAAATTTCATAATAGTGTTTTATCTCAAGAGATGTAAGGTTCTGAAACAAAGAAATTCTCATCTCTTAAGAGTGGACTGTGGTACTCTGGGTGTGCTTGATTCATTTGCATCTCAACATCCTTTCATAAGGATCCCCAGGAGAAATTGCTATCTGATTTCAGTATGAAGTATAGTGTATTTTCTCCTTAGCAATTGTTTTGTTTTTTATCTCATGGACATTGTAAATTTTGTAACTTATAATCTTTTTTTATTTATCACTCAGATCTATTTTTAGATCTACAGTAGGCTTGTGGGTTATTACAGTTTATCTGCAGTAGGCTTGTGAGTTATTTTTCTCTTTCTTGATTCCACTTTGTTCCCACTTTTTTTTCTGAAATAGCGCTCTTATCTTTCCATTTTATACACCCTTGTAAGAGATCTTAAATCATTCTGGTAACAATATATGAAATGCATAATAGATAAAAATCAACCTCATAGCTTGATTCTCTCTGCATTGGTAAATGTGTTTTCTATTTATTAAAGGTTGAAGAGTTCTCTGTATCCTTTCCCAGTTTTCTGTTAAATCACGCTACATAGAATCCCTTTCCAATGAGCTGATGCTTTGGACATGAACAAACTTTACAGAAAAGCCTCTGAACCATAGCTACTACCTCTGTGCTAGTAAAAGCCTCATTTAGTCCTTGCCTTGAACTATGTCCTAGAAAATGATGACTTTTGACAAATGTGAAAGAATAGCCACTAGAACTGCTCACCTCGTGGAGAGACAGACATCCTTCCTCACTGTGTTACCAGATACCGACTGAGCTGCCCCCCTCTCAGTTAATGTTAAGGTTGTGGTATAAAGTGTGGACTATGAGAAAAGGCTAACTGACACCCAATGTTTGATATTCCCCAAGTAAGTATTGCTAAATGCACCTTACAAAACGCTACTGGGAATTTCAAATTCATTATGTTCTGGAAGAATGATCTAATTCAAAGACATCTCTGCTTTGATAACTTATCTACCTTTAGAAATCTCATTTCTTATTTCTATTTTCTGGCTGCATAGGAAGTACAAGAGAACATATTTGACAGCTTTTGAAAGATAATTGATAGTGATAGAGAAAATCATATAGCTTTGAACTAAAGCATAAAAATGACAAATCTATTACATGGGATCTTTCTCTCTCTCTCTCTCCAGTGTTAGATATTTGGTCCTAAAATGGATCTAAATCATATAAAGGCAGCACTGTAACATTTCAGGCTTACATTTTGATACATCAGTTACTAGGGCTTAAAAGTCTGCTACTACAAAATGAGATGTATATTGTGCCTGATAACAGAGCAAGGGAGGCTGTTTTAAAAAGGACTGTGACTTTTTCTTCCACTGTAAAGGATTCTCTATTTATGGTAGAAGATCGTCCATCACATTTAATCCTCTCTGGGTAAAAGTTGCTTGGAGATAGAATAAGCAGAAAATAAATTATATTCTATTCTTAGCAGTAGAGCTTGCTAAACTGATTCTGTTAATTAAGCATTTAGATAAATGAAATAAATTATTTATATTTTTGGCATATTACATTCTTTATGTCAGACTGTAATTCCTCATTTCTTTCTTATACATGATGAAACAGATATATTAATTAGTATGATGTTTAAACAATTTCTTCTACTGTGGGAAGAAAGCAAACAAAATAAATTTTGAAAACCTCCAAAAATAAATTCTGGTATTTTTTTATAGGCATAGAGGATTATATGAAACTAAATTATCACTCTTGGTCAGAAGTAGCATAGTGAAAAATAAGATTTTAGGGGTTTGGGTTATTTTTATTATCATTACTATCTAGATAAAGTGCTAGATTTGGTAGTTCCAACCTCTCTGTATTTGGTGTATGAACCCTGATATTTCTTTATAAATAATGTAAAGATTAAATGGAAAGAAAATACTTAAAAGCTTTTGAGATGGTGTAGGGATTCTAGAACATGATGGTCTGAACTCAATTCCATTTTCCTCTAAACTCTAAGATACTTTTCTTTTATTGTGCAATAAATGCTATGATCTACAGGTGCTGTGTGCAGTAAAGCATGGATAAAACTGGTGGAAAATATTTTCATGAAGGTGCTAGAAATGGTGCTGGAGAACAGAGCATACAAGAAAGTGTATGACCTTTGAATTCCCAGGCTGAAGTCAAGAAGCATGTATAACTATGTTTCACTCTAACACTCATTTTTAAAAAAGCACAAATGTTGGGATTATGGGCTGAATCTTTCCTACTTTGACCTGCTTCGCCATTGTGAGAATATAGGAATTTTGGAGAGCAGCAAGGTTTTCTGCAGGGTTATACTTTATTGATAGATACCTCTTTCTATATATGTGTTAGATATATGTATGTAATACATATCACAATAAATATTTCAAATTCCAGAGTAATAAAATGGAAATCATGAGGAAAATGTTAAGATGATTAGAAGACATCTCTAGAATTAAAATGCACACAATAAGTGTCCTTAAGACAATAATTAATAGAAGTACAAGATAAGTACTTCACTAAAGAAAAAATATCTTAAAATTTTCATGCAATACAAAAAAATTCACAAGGAAAATATATTTTGACATCAAACTTCTCCCATTAACTGCTACATTAGAAATTATCATGTAATAAACATTGTAAAATGAGTGCTGTCATCCTGTAATCTTATCTAGTCAAGCTATCACGACTTGTTAGAGAAAGGCAATCAAAGATATACAATAACTGTAATGTTGCGCTTAAGAAAAATACATGAGAAAAAAACCAAACAGTGAATGAACAAGAACCTTATGAGTCTCTCATGCAAATCTAAGTATTGTCAGCATTTTATCCTAGATTATCTTGTCAGGAATGTTTGTATAGAGTGACAATACAAACATTGGAAGACAGAGATAGAGACTCCTTACAGAGTAGGGAGCAGGTTTGTTTACTCTCCAGTAACATAGTGATAGAACAAAGACAAGTGATATGCATTATAATAAAAATAATACATCTTTTTGGTCAAAGATGAGGCAGGTTAGCTTGATAAAATATTTGAGCTTCCTAAAATTGAGGTTCCTTAGCTGCATGCAAATCATTCACCTGGGCTCCTCACTGTAGTCCACGTAGAACTTGAGGTGAAGAGAAATAGACATGAGCATGACGCTCCTGTTGCCTGCTGTACTGTGAATTATAACTTCCTCATGTCTTCTGCCAGAACCCATGAAATTGCCATAGGCCAACTTGTTGGCCTGCAAGAAGGGTGAAATCTCAGATCTTGACTGTGAATACCAATACATACAGACACCTTTTACAAAGATATTTAATAAAAGAGGTCAAAAGTAGAAGAAAATAAGTAAAAATGAAAGCCAATAAATAAGTAACAACTAAATAGATTATAGTATAATACATCTATACCATTTATATTGTATAGGTTATAATATACAAATATACAATTATAATATACAAGTATAGGTTATAATATACAATATACCCAGGGGAAAGGGTGGCAGCTTTATAATATAGGGGTGAAGACCTACGAGAAAAGGAGGAGACAATTATGGAAAAAAAATGAAAGATTAATAAAAATCCATGTGTATAAATAAAGTATTATATAAACCTTAATTTATAGAAGTAATTTTATTACTTTGTTTGTAGCCAGTGGGCTATGTTGACCCTGGCTCTGGTAAACATATTATTTACACTCAATAGTCATATGAGGAATGACACACTTGAATTCTAAGAAGACTGGAGGATTGATGTTAGAGCAAGAAAGGCCTCAGCAACCGTGCATCGGTAACTTCATTATACACACGAGGGAATTAGAATGCAACAGACTGTACAGAATGTGTGCAGATCCACAATGTGTTAAGAAGCAACGCAAAATAATTTGACTTAAGATTGCTAAAAACATTTAAAAGAAACCAGTTCCAATGTCATTATGCCAGTTCTATCTGTATATGACAAGCCAGGTGACTCAGGAATGTTTTCATCTTGGATCAGTGGATAGGTGATCACAATAAAAATCAAAACAAGAGGAAACAGCACTGAAGGATATGCACTTAGAAGACCTCTAAATCTTTTCTAGTTCTCAGACAATGTTGTAGCTGTTGGATCTGCTCATAGATCTCAGGGTTCTCCTTGGGTTCATATCTTATAATTTTACTTATTTTTTTTTTTTGCTCTGGCATGTGTGATTCAGTTTTTCTTTTATATGAGTTTGCTGTAAACAAAATTTTAAAAAATAACTGTCATTTAACAGGATGACTCCCTTAATGTTTTCAATTTTAAAATTATTTTTAAAAAACTTGAATTGCTACAGGAAGGGAATGCATGTTAGCAAGAACAGATGCCAGTTTTTGATGATTTTTACAGAACTTTGATACCTTACAGGCATTGTCTCCTTCCCAACATAATGCAGTCACTTACGGTCATAAATTCAACCCAAGTAGAGATAAGAGAGTAACTCAAGGGATTTTGCTCTGCAGATGAGGGCATGTATGTACATGAATATGTATGTGTACACATGTATTCACCATACTGACTTGCACATCTCTTCATTTGTTTTTATTGTTTTTTGTTTTGTTTTGTTTGTTGAGACAGAGTCTCTCTCTGTTGCCAGGCTGGAGTGCAATGGTGCCATCTCAGGTCACTGCAACCTCCAACTCCCTGGTTCAAGTGATTCTCCTGCCTCAGCCTCCTGAGTAGCTGGGATTGATTACAGGCACGCACCACCACGCCCAGCTAATTTTTGTATCTTTAGTAGAGACGGGGTTTCACCATGTTGGCCAGGATGGTCTCGATCTGCTGACCTCGTGATTCGCCCGCCTCAGCCTCCCAAAGTGCTGGCATTACAGGTGTGAGCCACCTTGCCCAGCCTGTTTTTATTGTTTTGTCAGAAATGGAAGACATATTCTACATCATTTCTGATAATTTATTTAATAGAAATTAGTCTTGCTACTATTGCTATTCCAATCACCAAATATAAAAAAAGTAAATTGTGATATCATTTTTTCTGGAATTTTGGTAGCTGGGGAAGCCATATAGATTGACATTGCAAAGTATGCTGGAGGACAGGGTGGTTTAGATTAAAGCAATAACCATAAAACAAAAGAGGTGTAGGTGGAAAAGTGAGATTTCTTGTCCTCCTTCAGGGTGATTGCCTTCAATGGTTGTGTGGCTCTTTCTGATCTGTATTTTGAGTGCTCACTGTGGTTAACAGAGACAGATCCTGCAAAAGAGTAAAGACTCTTAATTTTTGTGGCACCCACGTATTTCCACACTATTCTAACAACCCACACTAGGCCTATCTCAATTTTTCAGCAATCCTAGCTGAATTATTCTTACTGGTGTCCAGTTTCATCGACCCTAGGTGGGCATGCATTTGTGTGGTGCTTTCTCTCTAGAGACACTGTATCTTAGAGTTGGAGCCAGTTATTTACTCTGTGAACTCAGTTTTCCAATAAGATTGTTGAAAGTCATGAGTTTCAATGTAGTTTTTTTCCTTTTTGTCATAAGATTGGAATCATCACTAATATCAATTATCTACATATTCCAGTTCTATATATACCAAAGTGGAAGCCAGAACTTATTCAATTTTATTTAAATATTTGATATAAAAGATTGAATTGAATAGTTTTAACTATCCCCTTGAGTCCAGATCCGCTGTGTCCTTGTGTCCATCCAGAAACCTACACAAGTTGTGCAGTATTTTTGATGAGTTATTATAAAAGACTAAAATGTCGAGACTTTCTTAAGAAACAATATTGAAAGTCCTTTTTCTAGATGTTTCAGCAAAAGCTGAATTTAATATTCAATATTTAATAGAATATTTAATATTTAATATTTATATATTTAATAGACCATCTTCAGTTTTCTAGTCATATGTTGAAAATCTTGATTTTTAATTCATTAAAAAATGTTTTTGAGTAGCAAATTTAGAGCACTCAAGACAATTCACTTTATACCCAGTTCTAGACAAGAGATAGGATTGTAAACTATCGCTACACTCAGGAGCATAGTTTTATTTTGTTTTAATTTGCTATTTGTGAAACCATCATTGTCAAACAGAAGATATTTATGCATAGGTATAAAGATGAGTGTGCGTGAGACAGCGAAAGCTCTAATAAGAGAGAACTCTAAGCCTCTCTTTACCAATGTGGAGATCTGTAGTTCTGGAAATAGCTTCTTTCCAAAATGCTTTGTTCCTTTTGGAGCTGTTTTCTGAAATGATGCTCAATCTGAGGTATAAACTTTTCTTATTTTCTTTCCTTGTTCAACATACTCCATAGCTATTATCTGTTCAATTAGTGTAATTATAATTGTTGGTGTTGAATACAACTATAATACTTTTTATTTATTTTTTTTAATTTTTATTTTAGATTTGGGGGCACTTGTGCAGATTGTTACCTGAGTGTGTTGTGTGATGTTGAAGTATGGGGTACGAATGATCTCATCACCCAGGTACTCACCATGGTACCTGTATTAGTCCGTTTTCATGCTGCTGATAAAGACATACCCGATCTGGGAAGAAAAATAGGTTTAATTGGACTTACAGTTCCACATGGTTGGGAGGCCTCAGAATCATGGCCGGAGGCAAAATTCACTTCTTACTTGGCAGCCACAAGAGAAAATGAGGAGGATGCAAAAGCGGAAACCCCTGATAAAACCATCAGATCTCATGAGGCTTACTCACTACCATGAAAACAGTATGGGGGAAACCGCCCCCATGGCTCAAATTATCTCCCACTCTGTCCCTCCCATAACACATGGGAGTTATGGGAGTACAATTCAAGATGCGATTTGGGTGTGGCACAGAGCCAAACCATATCGGTACCCAATAGTTAGTATTTCAACCCCTGCATCCCTCCCTCATTGCCCACTCTAGTAGTGTCCACTCTCTATTTTTGCCATTTTTATGTCTATGAACTATCAAAAATTTCTTTTAGCCATGTTTTTTAGTTCTATAATTGTGTTTGCTAAGTTTTCTTCTAGAAAACTTATTAGTGAGAATGTGCAGAGTATTTGGTTCCCTGTTCCTGCATTAATTCACTTTGGATAATGGCCTCCAGCTGCATCCATGTTGCTACAAAAGACATGATTTTATTCTTTTTTTATGGCTGTGTGGTATTCCATGGTGTATATGTACCATGTTCTATTTTTCCATTCCCCACTGATGGGCACCTAGGTTGATTACATGTCTTTGGCATCATGAATAGTGCTGCAATAAACATACAAGCACTATGTCTTTTTGGTAAAACAATTTGTTTCCTTTTTGGTGTATACCCAGTAATGGGATTGCTGGGTTGAATGGTAGTGCTGTTTTAAGTTCTCTAGGAAATCTCCAAACTGTTTTCCACAGTAGCTGAACTAATTGACATTCCCACCAACAGTGTATAAGCGTTCCCCTTTTCTCTGTAGACTCTCCAGCATCTGTTGTTTTCTCACCCTTTAGTAATAGCCATTCTAACTGGCATGAGATGGTATCTCGTGGTTTTGATTTGCATTTCTTTGATTAGTGATGTTGAAAATTTTTAAATGTGTTTGTTAGCCACTTGTATGTCTTCTTTGGAGAAGTTTCTGTTCATGTCTTTAGCCCATTTTTTAATGGGGTTACTTATTTCTTGCTTATTCAATTGTTTAAGTTCCTTTATAGGTTCTGGATGTTAGATATTTTTCCAATGCATAGATTGCAAATATTTTCTCCCATTCCACACATTGTCTGTTCACTCTGTTGATAGTTTCTTTTGCTGCACAGAAGCTGTTTAGTTTAATTAGGTCTGACTTGTCAATTTTTGTTTTATTGCAATTGCTATTGAGAAATAAGTCATAAATTCTTTCCCAAGGCCAACGTCCAGAATGGTGTTTCCTAAGTTTTCTTCTAGAATTCTTATTTTGAGGTCTTATATTTAAATCTTTAATTCATCTTGAATTGAATTTTGTATATGATAAAAGGTACTGGTCCAGATTATTCTTCTGCATAAGGCTAACCAGTTATTCCAGCACCTTTTATTGAATAGGGAATCTTTTCCCCATTGCTTTTTTTTGTCAACTTTGTTGATGATCAGGTGACTGCAGGTGTGCAGTTTTATTTCTGGGTTCTATATTATGTTGCATTGGTCTATGCTCTGTTTATGTATCAGTACAATGCTGTTGTGCTTACTGTAGCCTATAGTATAGTTTGGAGACAGGTAACGTGATACCTCCAGCTTTGTTCTTTTTGCTTAGGATTGTGCTGGCTATTCAGGTTCTTTTTTGGCTCCATATTAATTTTAAAATAGTTTTTTCTAATTATGTGAAGAATGTCATTGGTAGTTTGATAGGAATAGTATTGAATTTGTAGGTTGCTTAGGTGTTGTGGCTATTTTAAAGATATTGATTTTTCCAATCCATGAGCATGGAATGATTTTCCATTTGTTTAAGTTATCCATGATTTCTTTTAGCCATGTTTTGTAGTTCTTCTTGTAGAGATCTTTTACCTCCTTGGTTAGTTGTATTTCTAGGTATTTTATTTTTGTGGCTATTGTAAATGGGATTGAATTCTAGATCTGGCTCTCAGCTTGAACACTAATGGCATATGGAAATGCTACTGATTTTTGTACATTGATTTTGTATCCTGAAACTGCACTGAAGTCATTTATCAGTTCCAGGAGTCTTTTGGCAGAACCATTATGGTTTTCTAGGTATATAATCATATTGTCCACAAAGAGAGATGGTTTCACTTTTTATTTGTTTATTTGGATGCCTTTTATTTCTTTGTCTTACCTGATTGCTCTAGCACTTCCAGTATTGTGTTGAATAGGAGTGATGAGAGTGGCATCTTTGTCTTGTTCCAGTTCTCAAGGAGAATGTTTACAGTTTTTGTCCATTTGGTATCATGTTAGTTTTTCACCATTCACTATCATGTTGGCCATCGATGATGCTTATTATTTAGAGGTATGAGCCTTGGATGCCTAGTTTGTTGAGAATTTTTATCTAAGCCTTTTTCTGCATCAATTAAGATGATCATATGGTTTTTATTTTTAATTCTATTTATGTGGTGAATCACATTTGTTGATTTGCATATGTTGAAATTTTCCCCATTTTTTCTAAACATGTTTTATCCCAAGTATTCACAATGGCAAATGTTAAACTTCTCTCATAAGCATATATTTGCATTATAAGAATTTCTCTGTCATAAATACTCCATATTAAACCTTTGTAGGTATTTAGAGCAAGGTTTTTTCATTACTTCTTTTGTTAACTAGCTCACATGGTAAACAATTTGACTAAAAAAGGAATAACTTAAATAATTTAAATATGTCATCCTTGGTAAGTAGGAAAGAGGCACAAGCAGTGCATAATGACTTTTAGCCAGTGTGCTTAAATTTTAATTACATCCCTATCGCTTGTTAGCTCTTCACATTTAGGCAAGTTTTAAAATATCTCTCCTACATAGTTTTATCTTCATAAAATAAGATTGTACTGTGCGAAAGACAAGCTAATACATGTAAAAATCTTTGAAAACAAACCCTTACACAAAATAAGTGTGATAAATACTATCTATTATTATTATAACTTGGGAAATAAATGTCTTTCTTAGAACACTCATGGGAAGCCACAAAATGTGAGAATTACTCTTGTTGTCATTTAGTTTAGCTATTCCGGCCAGGTGCAGTGGCTCACGTCTGTAATCCCAGCACTTTGGCAGGCTGAGGCAGGGGGATCGCTTGAGCCCAGGAGTCCAAGGTTTGATACTAGCCTGGGCAACATGGTGAGACCCCATATCTATATAATATAGTTCAGCTTGTTCACTTCAAATATATATAATTAATATACAGTTCCTATGTATCTTTTTACAACTTGACCAGATTCATGCTTTAACACCTCTGGAATAAAGCCAGAGATAATAACCAATTTTCAGATGAAAATATGGGAGCCATGAAAGGGTTAAGAAGTTCCTAGACTTTCCTCAATTTTCAACCCATGACAGGCTTCTCAAGAACACCCTCTTTATGTGTTCCAAGACTGCTAAACTCTAGGCTGCCATCACTGTTAGTTAACAGTAAAGGTCACTACAGATTTAGGCTTCTATTCTCTACCATTGGAAAAGAAAAAAGCTATTTCCTAGGGATATTAGATTTTCACTTTTCACTCATTATTATATGGATGATTGATAGCATTGTGTTCCTTGGACAGTGCAAAGATAGAGACACCACTTTAACTGAAATATGCTTTAGGTATTGTTATGGACTGAATTGCATCCTTGCCATCATTTATATGTTGAAACTCTAACCCCAAGTACCTCCAAATGTGACTGTGTTTAGACATAAAGCCTTTAAAGAGGTCATTATGATTAAATTAGGTCAAAAGGGTGGGGCCCTAATCCAAGATGACTAGTGTCCTTTTAAGAAAAAGAGACTCCAGAGAAGTACACATAAAAAAAAAAAAAGAAAAGATTGTGTGAGGACACAGTGAGAAGGGGGCTATCTGTAAGCTAGGCAGAGACATGTCAGGGGAAACCGAACCCAACAGCAGCTTGATCTTGAACTCTCAGTCTCCAAAACAGTGATAAAATATATATCTGTTGTTTAAGCTGTCCAGACTGTGATATTTCATCATGGCAGTCCTATCCAACTAATACAGGTATTAGAAATAGATGGGAAAGAACCCTAGGATTTGGATGAATTGTTATGGTCCAGTAATTATTGTGTTATTGTTATAATTCCCCAAACAATCATATCTGGATAGAAAGAGGTATGTAGAATCCCTTCAGAAATATTGGTGTCCTTTATATTCTATGCAGTGTTATGACAACTCATGGAGGAAGAAAACCTAATGAATTTTGCTTTAATAATTCTTCTCATCCTGAGTCTCTAGGAAAATGCACAGGTAAAGATACCATCATCTTCTAACACTCAGCTCCACATCTGGGGGCTGTAGGCAAATGAGAGTCAAGGACTCTTTCCTCTGCCTTCAGTCTTCTCTATAAGGGTCATAAAACTTAGAGCTAGATTAAAGGCTACATATTCCTACCTAGACAACTCAAGACAATAGTATGCTAATACCATGAAAAGAATGGAATGCCAGCTACTCTATTCAGATTTAAAGAGCCTAGGAGGCCAAAGTAGCACTTAGTACTTCTGCCACTTACAAATCCCCCAGCAATTGTAGGTTTACCTCATAGTTTCCATGTATTAGTAGCTATCTCTCCACAAATCTTGAGGCCCAATACTGTCAGGTCTGTTAGTGGCCAATGTGTCCACTGCTCTTATTAAACCTGAAGAATGAAAGCCTTTTCAACTCCATAAAGATGGGTCTCCTTCTCTTTTGCCTTTGAACATGCCATTTTGTCTGTCTTCTGTTAAGTCCTGTTTGGAGGGTCCTGGGGCTTCTGGGTAGCACTTATGTGGGGGTAGGATTAATAGCAGTCATGCAGGTTGGACATATAATCAGCAGAGCATTGCTGACTCTAATATTCATTTTTTTCCTTACCTACTCCAGCATATCTGCGTCTCCTCAAAATCTGACAAGTCATCATCTAGTATGATGTACACTGCATTAGGTATACCAAACGTGACAACCGTTCTCATTTAAGAAAGAATCGTGGAGAATATCCATCCTATTTCCTTTAGTGTGGGTGTTAAATCCGTGACATCTCTTTAAAGCTGCCTTTGCATCACTTGCAGTGGAACGGACCTCCAGAGCTTCCCTACACCTGCTTCCTGTCCTTCCTGGGCATAAAGAAGACTGAGATTTCCAGGCAGGCTTCAATTCTCAAAACAACATTAGGATGAGCTATTATTTTTACCTCCATTTACAAATGAGAAAACTGAGGTATTTTGAAAAAGAAAAGACTTGCTTCAGGTCACCAGCCCGTTGGTAGAGTCAATATTCTAACACAAGAAGCAAGCTTTCCAAACTTGCATTCTTAAGCTCCAATCTTTTGCTTATTGTTCTTGTGCAAATATTAATCTTACAACTTGAGACTAGAAAGAAATGTATTTCGAAAGCTTATGGTATGACTTTAACCACATTAAAGTTAGGTAGGTAAAAATGCTCTAAGGGAATTACAAGGGGTGGGCAGGAAGTAAAATACATAAAAAGAACCTGTCCTAACATAGAAAGGGTAACTTAGCTTTCATCGAAGGAAATAATATTGGAAACCTCAACTTCTTACTAGATAGGCCTCAATTGCCATTAGCCCTGTTTAACACTCAAGTAAGAAACTAATTAGATATCTAATTCAAAGAGCAGTAAATAACTTTTAGAATACACCTGAACAAAGTAGCCATTTAATTGGCGATCATCTTCAACTAACCTCCAATTATTTCTTTAAGCTTAAGTACCTTATAAAATGCACCAAAGAAGGGAGCTCATGGTCAGTTAAGCTACAGGCTATTAGAGATCATCTATGCCTGGCATGGTTCTTCTAAAATTATAGTATCACAGCCTGTCAGATTTTACCTTTGGCTTCCTGGATTTATGAACAGATCTTTTTCTGCACAGCTTCTATTTTCAGTTCAGGCTCCATGCTTATTGAATCAGGAAGAACTTTTTAAGATATTTATGTCTACCTAATCTGACATCTGACTCTTCTAGGAGTTCTTATTTGCTTCAAAGCCTCCTAACTGTTCTCTCTAATTCTATTCTTGGACCTCTCTACCCATTCTCCAAATTGTGGCCAGGATGATTCAAAAAAATAATAAATACATATATAAATAAATAAACTGGATCATGCCATTTCCCACTTAAGTCTCTGGAATGGCTTTTCTTTACATTTAACATTAAATTCCAACTCTTTATCATGGCCTCAAAATTTCTGCTTTATCTGGTTGCTGGCCACCTCACAGGCTCTCCTACCTCACAGAGCTACAACCCATTAGATTTCTTTCGTCTCAAATATATCAATCTTTCAAACTCATTCCTGCCTTAGGATCTTTGTACTTGATAGTTCCTCTGGGCCACTCTTCCTATAGCTGCCTCCTTCACTTCAGTCAGGTTTCCACTGAAGCACCATCACATCGGAGAAGCCTAAATTAATTCTCCTCCCTCTCCCCTGATATTCTTATCTCTTTGCCCCTTTCCCTTAATTTTTTCATATAACTTAAAAACTAACTGAAATTATGTTGCCACCATTTTCTTCTCGATTCAAATTCTCAATTAAAATGTCAAGTTTATGAGAGCAGGAACCGAGTAAGGCTTGTTCACCTCTGTATCCACAGCAACTAGAACTAGAACTGCATCTAGAAGAGGCAGTTTGTCCCTGAAGCAATGAGACAGAAGCTTCGGGATCCTAAACTTACATTCTTTCCTTCAATCACTCTGCACTTAATTTTTTCAATTAAACTTTTAATTTTGAAATAATTATAGATGCATATACTAATACGTTTTTGCTGTGTGCCCACCCAAATCTCATCTTGAATTATAGTTCCCATAATACTTACTTGTTGTGGGAGGGACCTGGTGGGAGGTAATTTAACTAAGGGGATGGTTACCCTCATGCTGTTCTCATGACAGTGAGTGACTTCTCATGAAATGTGGTGGTTTTATAAGGGGCTTTTCCCCTTTTGCTCAGCACATCTCCTTGCTGACATCGTATGGAGGAGGACATGTTTGCTTCTCCTTCTGCGGTGATTGTAAGTTTCCTGGGGCCTTTCAAAACATGATGAACTGTGAGTCAATTAAACCTCTTTTCTTTATAAATTACCCAGCCTCAGATATGTCTTTATTAGTGTGTGAGAATGGACTACTACAGTATATTGGTACTGGCTAGTGGGGCATTCCTTTAAAGATACCTGAAAATGTGGAAGTGACTTTGGAACTCAGTGACAAATAGGTTGGAACACTTTGGAGGGCTCAGAAGAAAGCCACCATGGCTGACATTCAATACTGCTTTTTGAGAAAGTAAGATGTTAGTATGATAAATAACTCAGTAAAAAATTGGCCGAATTAAACTATCAAGCCCGAATTTATTGGATAAATGGTGGCTGAAAGAATAGGTAACCAGGTTTTAAAAGAGAAGTTAAACTTGAAGTTCCTTCCCCACACTCAAAAGGCTTCTGAAGACTGTAAGAGCTGAAAGGGCAGGTGACCTGGTATTTTCCTACACAGGAGACAGTAGCAATGGAAAAGACATTGAATATATTCATACTGTGCATATGGAGTAGAATCTGGGTCAAATAAAAGTCTAGAAAGTCGACCCTGGTGCACAGATTTTTCCAAACACAAAAAGAAACTCTTCAGATGCTGGATTACAGACCTCGTCATGTAAATCTACACTGGTCATTTCTCCTGCTAAAGAGCCAAACAAGCAAAGATATTCAATAACACAGCACTCTATAATGTGAAGATTTAAGGATCATTTCTTTCGCTTGGCTTTATACAAATATTAGACAAATTAGGCCTTTTCTCTTTCAAGAATGAAGAAAAAAGTGAGAGGGAAAGAAAAACTCAAAATGAAAACAGTGGAACAATTTTGCCATGAAAATAAAGAGAATTTAGTAATAAGGAGAAGAGAATTCCGTTCATTAATTCAATAAATATTTATTGAGCACCTAGAGTATACCAGACAACCATTCTAGGTTCTTAGGATATGTCAATTAGTCCTACACATATGGAGATTACATTGGCAGGGGCAGGGATGGGCTGGGTGAGAAGACAGAAAATAAGCAACAGGTATAATCCATAAATCAATATATACAATAAGTAGGGAGGCATGGTCAGATTCAGGATATGTTTTCAAAGTAGAGACAACAGATTTCATAATGAATTGGATACAAACTGTGAAAGCAAAATTGGAGACAAAGATGGCTCAAAGATTTTTGGCCTGAGTGTTTTTTTTTTTTTTTTTTTTTGAATAGATTCAGTTTAAAGGGGAATATAATGAGCTCATTTTTGGACATGCACAAATTTCATATTACCCCAGAACAGACAAGCAATTTTGTAAGCTTTCTGTAGTGTTTTCTATCTCTCAACTGGCTTAGACAAGTTTTGTCTTAGACCATGTGAAGTTCTCCCATATGCTATCCATAGTACTGATTTGACACACTTGTTTGGAGAAATAATCAATAAAATTGATTTTAAGCACTGTATAAGTGGAAAAAAAGCTTCCATAAAAATTACAACCTGTGTGTATGCTGCTGGTAGTTTTATAGCACAAAAGAAAAAAAAATCAGTTTTAAGTTATGCAGCTATTCAGCAGGTTAAGAAAAAATGGATGAAAGAAATTTCCTTTCATGTCATAAACTGTTTGCCTGTAATATTTACTTAATATGTGAGTTTTTTTTTTAATTTAGAGGTTTCCAAACCTTAAATTTAACAAAGGAATAAACTGAAATTTTTTAAGCTCTGGATTTTGATGAGAATAATCGTGGCATTGGTTATCAGAAATACCTGAGGCTGGGTAATTTATAAAGAAAAGAGGTTTAATTGGCTCACAGTTCTGTAGGCTTTGTAAAAAGCATGTGCAGACATCTGCTCGGTTTCTAAGTAGGCCTCAGGAAGCTTACAATCGTGGCAGAAGGCAAAGGGAGAGAGTAGGAACATCACATTTTGAAAGCAGGAGTGAAAGAGAGATGGGGGGAGCAGGGTGGGTGCAGCACACTTTTAAATGACCAGATCTCGTTAGAGCTCACTCACTATTGCAAGAATGCTACCAAGTGGATGGTACGAAACCATTCATGAGAACTATGCCACATGATCTAATCAATACTAGGCCCCCATTTCCAACATTGGGGATTACATTTGAACCTGAGATTTGGGTGGGAACAACCATCCAAACGATATCAGCATCTAATATGAGAGCATATAAAATATGCTCCTTGCCTTAAACACTTTTCCATTTTGTCAAGTAATTAAGATATACATTCTGAAATATTAGAGAATAAAAATATGACAGGATGATTTCTGGTTGGTGTACTACAGGTAAAAAGATTGGAAGTCATTTCTGTTCTCATAACAAGAAAAAAAGTGGAACAAACTGAAAATCAACAATACTGCTTAGATCCATTAGACATTTGGGAACATACAGCAAACTACCACACCAAAAATTGTAAGAAAGACAGACATCAAGGTTCACAGATTACCAGGAGTAGAAGCAGGGGAGCAGAAACTCATCTCTGGAGCCCGTACTGGAAAGGGCATATACACTGTGATTGACCAACTGCTGGAGGCTTTCTGTGAAACCAGCTGGAGGCTTAAAACCTCTGGGAGCCTAGTCTTAGAATGGATTCTTACATTTTTACAAGTTTTCCTCCCAGTAGCTCCACCATTTTCTAGAGATGAAATTTGGAAATAATTACCTTTGAACCTTCAAAAGGGGGAGGAGATGACTGACCCCTTTCAAATACGGCCAGAGCAGTCTATTTCCCTTAACAAAAAAGGGACCTCCAACAAAACTATTTTCCCAGAGCCTAACCAACTTAGTTTTTGCCAGAGCCTAATCTAGCTTGTGTAAGAGTAATATCCAATTCTGGGCCCCTCTAGCCTTCGATGTGGAGAAAGGGCATTATGAAATGATAAAGGGGTTATTTCTCTGAAAACTAAATGAAACAAAACAAAAAACCCACAGTCTTTAAATTATATCCTTTCTTCTTTCTTTCTTTCTTTCTTTTTTTTTTTTTGAGACAGACTTTCACTCTTGTTGCCTAGGCTGGAGTGCAATGGCGAGATCTTGGCTCACCACAACCTCCGCCTCCCGGGTTCAAGCAATTTTCCTGCCTTGGCCTCCTGAGTAGCTAGGATTACAGGTGCACACCACCTTGCCCAGCTAATTTTGTATTTTTAGTAGGGATGGGGTTTCTCCATGTTGGTCAGCCTGGTCTACAACTCCAGACCTCAGGTGATCTGCCCACCTCGGCCTTCCAAAGTGCTGGGATTACAGGCATGAGCCACCATGCCCAGCCTAAATTATATCTTTCCTAACAATAAAGTGTTAAAATACATGAGGCAAAAACTAATAGAACTGCAAGGAGAAATAAGAAATCCACCAATATATTTGGAGACTTCAAGACCCTTCTGTCAGATCGAATTGAAAGATCCTTAGGCACAAAATCATTAAGCATATACACACATGCACACACACACACACACACACATAAACACACACACATACAGATATACATATGTTGGAAGTCTATGTTCATATCAGAAAAAGCCTAAAATATGTTATCTTAATTAAATGTTAAAAATCCATAAAGAATACGATTAAACTGAACAGTATCATCAATCAACTGTATCTAATTAGCATTTACAAAATACAGCAGAATACACATTCTTCTCACGCTCACATAGAACATTCACAAAGCTATGCCACATTCTGTACTATAAAACATACCTTCACTAATGTAAAACAACAGAAATCACACAATTTCATTCTTAGGCCACAATGAAATTAAACTAGAAATTAATTATAGAAATATAGTTGAAAATAAAAAAAAAATTGGAATGAACAACACAATTCTAAATAACACATAAGCCAAGAAGGAAAGTTTATGAGAAATTTGAAAATATTTTGACCTACATGAAAATGGAAATACAACTTACCGATATTTGTGGGATTCAATGAAAGTAAGGTTTAGAGGAAAATTTATAGCACTGAATGTATATTTTTGAAAAGAAAAAAAGACCTAAAATCAATAATCTAAGCTTTTACCTCGGGAAACTAGAAAAAAATAGAACACAAAATCCCAGGTAAGCAGAAGAAAATAAACATTAAAACTTATAGCAGAAACCAATGAAATTGAAAACAGAAAATCAATAGGAAAAAATCAATGAAATCAAAAGCTGCTTCCGTAAGCAGATAAGCAAAACTGACAAAACTCTATCCAGGCTAACCAAGGGAAAAAAGAGAGAAGATACACATATTAATAATATCAAAAATGAAACAAGGACAATCACTACTGAATCCAAGATGGTTATAAGGATAAAAAGGAATATTATGAGCTACTCTATGCCAGCCGATTTGTAAATTTAGATAAAATAGACCAATTCCTTGAAAGACACAACTACCACAATTCACAGAAGGAGAAATAAATAATCTGAATATACATGTATGTATATTAAAGACATTGAATTAATGATTAATAACTTTTCAGTGCAGAAAGCACAGGCCCAGATGGGTTCACTGTAGAATTCTACCAAACATTTAAGGAAGAAATGATATCAATTTTCTACAATCTCGTCCAGAAAATAAAAGAGAGAATGCTTCCTAACCCCTCTACTAGGCCAGCATTATCTATTATCAAAACCGGACATAAACATTACAAGAAGGGAAAACTACAGATTTAACATTTCTTATGAACATATCTGCAAAAATACTCAACAAAATATTAGCGAATCCAATTCAACAATGGATAAAAATTATATACTATAACCAAGTGAGAATTATTCAAGATATGAAAAAATTGTACAACATTTGAAAATCAATAAATGACATCTGTCACATCAACAGACCAAAAAAGAAAAATGTCATATGATCATTTCAACAGATGCAGCAAAAGCATTTGGCAAAATCTGTTATCTCTTTATGATTTTTAAAAACCTAGAAAATTAGGAATAAAGGGGAACTTCCTCAACTTGATAAACAACTACTACAGAAATCCTACAAATAACATCTTATTCAATGTACAATAAACTAGGAGCTTTTCCCCTAAGATCAGAGACAAGGCAAGTGTGCCTCCATTCCCATTCCTATTCAAAATTCTTCTGGAAGTCCTACTAGTGCAAGAAGATAAGAAAAAGAAATAAAAGGTATACAAATAGGGAAGAAAAAAATAAAATTCTCTTTGATTGCAGGTGATATAATTGTTGAAAACCCCAAGGAAATCAACAAAAAGAATTTCTGGAACTAATAAGCAATTACGGCAAGGTTGCTGAATACAATGTTAATATATAAATGTCAATAGTTTTCTTATATACCACCAATAGCGATTGTAATTTGAAAATGTAGAAAAGGTTGGCCGGGTGCGGTGGCTCATGACTGTAATCCCAGCACTTTGGGAGGTCGAGGTGGGTGGATAGCCTGAGGTCAGGGGTTCGAGACCAGCCTGGCCAACATGGCAAAACCCTGTCTCTACAAAAAATACAAAAATTAGCCAAGTATGGTGGTGGGCACCTGTAATTCCAGCTACTTGGGAGGCTGAGGTGGGGAGAATTGCTTGAACCTGGCAGGTGGAGGTTGCAGTGAGCCGAGATAGGGCCACTGCACTCCAGCATCGGAAACACAGCAAGACTCCCTCTCAAAAAAATAAATAAATAAATAAATAAAATAAATATAATAAATAAACACCATTTACGTTAGCACCAAAAAATGAATTACTTAGATTTTAATCTAGCATGATATGCACAAAATCTATATGAGGAAAATAAAACTGATGAATGAAATGAAAGCATGTCCAAATAAGTGGATAAGTGTTTCATGTTTTTGAATAGGAAGACTTTATGTTGTTAGGATGCCAGTTCTTTCCAAATTATCTATAGATTCAATGCAATCCAAATCAAAATCCCTGAAAGTAATTTTGTGAAAATCAACAAAGTGATTATAAAGTTTATATGGAAAGGCAAAAGACCCAGAATAGCTAACAAAACATTAAGGAAGAAAAAAGTTACTCAACTACCTGAATTCAAGACTTACTATAAAGCAGCAGTAATGAAGACAGTGTGGTACTTGCAAAAGAACAGGCAAATAGACCAATAGAACAAAATAGAAAGTCTAGAAATAGGCACATATATTGGAGAACCTGCCCTGATAGTCACGTAGGTTCTTTTCCATTTTCCCTAAGCGTCAGCCGGTTTGAGAAATAAAGGGACAGAGTAAAAAAGAGAGAAATTTTAAAGCTGGGCATCCGGGGGAGACATCACATGTCGGTAGGTTCCGTGATGCCCCACAAGCCGCAAAACCAGCAAGTTTTTATTAGGGACTTTCAAAAGGGGAGGGAGTGTACAAATATGTGTGGGTCACAGAGGTCACATACTTCACAAGGTAATAGAATATCACAAGGCAAATGGAGGCAGGGTGAGATCACAGGACCACAGGACCAGGGAGAAACCAAAATTGCTAAGGAAGTTTCAGGCACCATTGTCATTGATAACATCTTATCAGGAGACAGGGTTTTGAGAGCAACCAGTCTAACCAAAATTTATTAGGCGGGAATTTCCTCTTCCTAATAAGCCTGAGAGTGATATGGGAGACTGGGATCTATTTCACCCCTACAGTTTCAACCACAGAAGACGGCCACGCCCGGGGGGGCCAGTTCAGAGACCCACCCCCAGGTGCATATTCTCTTTCCCAGGGATGTTCCTTGCTGAGAAAAAGAGTTCAGTGATATTTCTCCCATTTGCTTTTGAAAGAAGAGAAATATGGCTCTGTTCTGCCCAGCTCACTGGCGGTCAGAGTTTAAGGTTATCTCTCTTGTTTCCTAAACATTGCTGTTATCCTGTTCTTTTTTCAAGGTGCCCAGATTTCATATTGTTTAAACACACATGCTCTACAATTTGTGCAGTTAACGCAATTATCACAGGGCTTACAAGATGACAGGATTAAGAGATTAAAGTAAAGACAGGCCTAGGAAATCACAAGGGTATTGATTGGGGAAGTGATAAGTGTCCATGAAATCTTCACAATTTATGTTTAGAGATTGCAGTAAAGACAGGCATAGGAAATTATGAAAGTATTAATTTGGCGAACTAATGAGTGTCCATGAAATCTTCACAATCCGTGTTCTTCTGCCATGGCTTCAGCCGGTCCCTCCGTTTGGGGTCCCTGACTTCATGCAACACACATACAAATATCTACTGATCTCCGACGAAAGGGAAAAGGCAAATCATTGCAGAAAAGATAATATTTTCAACAAATGGTGCTGCAACAAATGTACAGCCACACACATTACAATGAATGTAGACATATATTACACTTGTCAAAAAACAATCTTTTAAAGTGGATCTTAGACAGAAATATGTAATGCAAAACTGTGATCTCCAAGAAGAGAACATAGGAGAAAATCCAAGTGACCTTGCATTTAGTCACATCACCAAATGCACTCTCCATGAAATATGTAAGTTGGACTTAAGTGAAGTTGAAAATATCTCTGCAACAGACAGAATGAAGGGACAAGCTGCACATTAGGAAAAAATATTTAAAGGCCCATATCCAACAAATAATTTTTATGCCAAATATACATAGAACTCTTAAAATTCAACAATAATGAACCATTCGTGAATCTGGTAGCCCCTGGAATCACAGCAGATTCAGAGGCTCCAGCCCAGCCACGTGGTGGAAAAAAATTTATAGCCAAAAAAAAAGGGGAAATAATGTACAGAAATCAGAAGTAACATACAGAGCAGTTGGATTGGTTATAGGTTGGTGTTTGCCTTATTTGAACACAGTTTGAACGCTCAGCATTTGAAGTATGGCTGCTGGGATGGGCCAAGACTCAGCTATTGTTATAGGCACAAACTCCTAAGTTGGATTTCCAAACTTGTCTACCTATTAAGTTAGGTGGCAGTTCATCCACAAGTACTCAAATATATAACTAGGGAGTCCTTCTCAGGCCATATTACTTTGTTTTAACACCCATCTATCTGATGACTGAAACTGGCCCTCAGTTGTATCTTAATTCTGTAAGCAATAGTCAACTGATCAATTACAAAGGAGATTTCTTGAAAAGAAGTGAGGCTGGATTTTATCCCTCCCCTACCCACAAAGGTATGGGTACATAAGCCCAGTGGTTGACAAATTTTTCAAAGTCTTAGGATAAGTTATTGTTGTCCCCTTCCCTCCACTTCCCCCGCCAAGATTTAGCCACTACCCTTAAGATCACCGCTTCTTACTATGTAGTCTCTGAAACAACCACATGTAGATTTTTCCAATAAACAAAATAAGGAGCTCCCTCTTAAACGTTCTACTAATTTATAACAAAATCAAACAAACATCCTTCTCAGGAAGAAAAGACATTAATAGATTTACCAAAGGTTTAAAATAAATGCAAAATTCTAAAACCTGAAAAAGTAGCAAGTGCCTGGCAACTGCATTATTTCATCTCTTAGACCCCTTATCATTTCAGAGGTAACTGCAGCTTCCGGATTGCCTGTCCCCACAATGGACTTCTCCCTGGATTCCTTGGCTTCAACTTCTGTTGCAACTAAGATGCTTTCTATTATCAGCTGGATCCTCTTCCTTTCTTTCTTTTTTTTTTTTTTTTACGAAATCTTGCTCTGTCACCCAGGCTGGAGTGCAGTGGCACAATCTCTACTCACTGCAACCTCCGCCTCCTGGGTTCAAGGGATTCTCCTGCCTCAACCTCCCGAGTAGCTGGGTTTACAGATGCGCATCACCACGCCCAGCTAATTTTTGTATTTTTAGTAGAGACCAGGTTTCACCATGTTGGCCAGACTGGCCTTGAACTCCTGACCTCGTGCTTCCCAAAGTGCTGGGATTACAGGCGTGAGCCACCTCGCCTGGCCCAGTTCTTCCCTTTCTATAGCAACTGGCTCCTACCCAGCCTTTCAGGCCCTCCTGTCTGTGACCTCTAGATACTGCTCTTCTGGGCCTGATACAGATTTGTTTGTTCTTTATATGTGAAAAACTTAGTGCATTTATTACTATAACATCATTTAAGCATTTATGTTTCAGATCCAATTACTAAATACAGATTAGTTTGTGTACTCTTCACAAAAAACTCCATCAAGTGGGTACTAATATTACCTCCACGTGACAAGTGAGGAAAGTTAGGCACAGAGTGGGTTAAATAGTTTAACCACTATTTTAAGGCAGGAAGTTAATCTAGGGTGAATTTTTGCTTGGAATCCAAGTCGTCTGCGCTGGCCCTTTTCCCCCTGCCATTGGGCAGGGTGTGGACCAGCGCAGCATTGCCAGACAAGAGACAGTGAATTACTTTCCATCCGGCTACTCGCTGGCATTGTTAAGGGTCTCAGGAGTGCATGGGCTGGCACCTGCCCCTAACCCTACTGGCCACGTGCTCACGCGGACCAAGGAGGCATGAGGCCTGGGCATGGGTCATATCCTGGGCGAGCGGGGCAGGGACTGGGGAGAGCTCCTCCGTGGACAGCGGTGCTGACTCCCTAGGGTGGTAATATGGGGAGAAAGCATCCTGGAGGAACTTCTCGGTTGCCAAGGCTCAGCACAGAGGCTCCCCAGGTAGGTGAAGGCGACCCCCTCCAGGGCTGGAGCAGTTGGGTAACGTGGACCATGGTCCTTGCCCGGGACTGGTGGACGGTGGTGGTGGAGGTTCCTGGCTTAGGGCAGCCATTCCCTCAGCAGCCAGCCTGTTCCACCGCTCCACATGGCCTTCCTTGGGGACCCTCCGGGGTGTGGGCGAATTGAGCTCCCCTCCTTCCCACAGACTGCCGCTGGCAACCCCGCGGTTGGTTCGCCCTCTCAGGTCAGTTTCCCCTGAGTTAGGCAGACTCTAATTCTTATGCCCCTTGGGCTCCCAGCGCGCTCGGGGTTAGGCGACCCCCCAGTGTGCCTCCAGTGCACTTAGGCGCTGCAAGTCATCATTAGTGACAAATGTGGTGATATGGAGAGTTTGTGCACTTAGGTACTACAAGTCATTACTGGTGACAAGTGAGGTGACATGGGGGTTTGGTGACAGGTGGAAATTGTGACCCTCTTTGCCATGTCTTAGCCACCAACCTTGGTTTCCCAGTCCGAACGGGATTCCAGTGGGGCGCCTCGCTTGTCCCCTTTATTCTCCAGTGGGGTGGGGTTCAGGAGTCCCCACATGTCTCCTCCAAACTTCCTGAGAGAGATGAGAGGTTTCTGTTGTATAAATTCTAACGGCAGAAGCGTGGCATAAAAGATATTTGTCACGTTTTCTGTGGATAAGCAGTATTTAAGTAAAACAAGTTTTTGACTTTTTTTGTTGTTGTTATTGTTACATGACATTGGTAGAGAACTTGGTAGTTTCTGCCACCAGCTTAATGTTATTTTTGCTGAGGATCTCGGTTTCTGCCGATGTCCAAACAAGTGAATGGAATTGGATGATCAGTTCTAACATTGTAATTCTAGCCTGTCTATAAGACAGTAAATAGGGGTTATTTAGATGACTACGATATCCTGTTGACTAATTTTCTCTTTTAGATAAGTTACAACTTTTCACCTTTCTGGAGCCACATTTGGAGTGATCTAGAAATTGATTCCTCACCTGACAAAAGGCTTTCTTTGTAAAATCCCAACCAGTGAAACTGACCTCTTCCTGAAGGTGAACTGGTTTAGGTCAAATGGGTGCATCTCATACGCTCCAGTCTTACGTCTGAGCTACTAATTAATGTTCCTTTAATCTTCAAAATGATAATGATAAATGTTGATAGAGAACCGCTTTTCTAAGAAAGATCTGAATATTGGCCTTACTCTGCTCCCATTCGAAAAATTTAGATAAGCACATGATTTCAAAAGACAGGATTTTGGCTTGTTTTACACTACGGAATGAGGGGAAATTCTTCGACATTTATCATTTAAAACATTTTCCAGTGCTATTTGGAGACAGTCTTGATAAATCTTAGGTTCACTTCCTGAGTAAAATAAATTGTCAGATTTTAGGTGACAAAAAACATGGTACCTGTCTTCTAAAACAGCAGGAATACTTGTTGGCTTTGGGCACTTTTAAACAAGTTCCTAGTGCTGTAAAGGTGTATTTGGAAACTAGATGACACTCAGAGGAAAGAGCTATATTGGTTAGTGGATCTTATCCCAAGGAAAACACCACTCCCCTCTCTACCTCATGTGCAGTGGGCAGGGATGGGTCCATTGGGCTTTCTTGCTTGTTTGGCTTGCTGCAGTTGGATTCCCTATCTGCTGGCATTTTGTTAATTGCTCTTCCACTATTTAGTTGCCTTGTCACAGTTCTGGTGAGCACAGTGATGGGAGCCTATGAGTCTTGGTTCCTTACTATGTGTGTTACCCAGGGTTTCCATACAAATTACTATAAACTAGGTTGCTTAAAACAACAGAAATATATTACCTCCCAGTGTTGGCAACTAGTAGTCCAGAATTAAGGTGTCAGCAGGTCTCTCTTCCTCTAAAGGCTCTATGGGAGAATCCTTCCTTGCCTCTTCTTAGCTTCTGCTTGTTGTTGTCCTTGCTAATCCTTGGTGCTCCTTCACTTGTAGATGGATCACTCCAATCCCTGCCTTCATTGTCACATGACTGTCTTCTGTGCATGTGCTGTTGTCTTATAGTGATCCAGGTATTAAAGAGAAAATTATTCATAACACTTCTTGAAGACAGTAATGCTAACCTTACAGAAGGGCGGGGGGCATAGCAATAGCTATAGGGACCACTACGATGAGGTCTTATAGCTGGGGAAGAAAGACTGAACTCAACTTTGACTCCAGGAAGAAGTGGGGATTTATAACCAAGGGGCAGAGTGAGGGTCAGTAGATGGAAAATCATTAAAAGGGAAAGTCAAGGATAAAAGGTTTCTGGCTAAATAGACTTGATATTACTGAAGACAGGCCAGAGTGATAAGATAGCAAGGGTGATCAGGTACCCAGATCAGGAACGTCTTTGCTTTTGTAAACTGTTTCATCAGTATTCTTGCATAAATTTTATTCTACAAGGACAGAGAGGGAAACCCAAGGTTGAGTCTAGTCAAGCAGGAGACTCAGAGAAACCTAATGTTTGTTCAAAGGTCTGTGTTACCAGTCATTAGATTAGTATCCATAATTACCTAATCTTAACTTGATTCCATCTGCAAACACCCTATTTCCAAATAAAGTCATAATTCACAGGTATCTGGAATTAGAATATCAATGTATTTTTGGTAGAAATAATTCAACTCATAAAATTTACCATTGCGTTTCTGTGTGCTCTGATCTGGCAAGCAGCTTTGCACTTTTGTTTCTCTACCAATTTGTAGCTCTTCTATACCTCTTAAAGAGGCTATAAAGACTGGCCACCTGATTTAGGTAAGAAATAAAAAATAAGGTCTCTATGCCAACCTTCAGCCAGTAACTCAAATACACTGCTTTGTTTGTTTGTTTTTTAATGTACACAAATGCAAGAAGGAAGTGGTATGTTATGCTGCTACCTCTTTATTTTATAACCTAATTCTTGAACTTACCTGATAGCACTTTTCTGGAGAGCTCAAGGTACTTTCCATATGCTGTTTTATTTATCTATATGATTTAAAGCAGGGCCAGCAGCTACTTTTATTTCTCTTTACATATTTAAAATTTGTGCTTGTTAGTATTTAAATATTTATCTTAACATATTTCAAAATGGTTCTTTTTAGTAGAGATTTGCTTTGCATGTTTTATCTGCCTGCAGCCTTGTTTTCAGGGGCAATCTCAGTTTTTAGCATGAAATCTCTGTAAATCTTCATATAGAAAGAAAAATAAATTTTACACTAGAAAAGCCAATATCCATCCAGTAAACATGCTGTTGTCTTGGGATCATAGCATAGAAAGTATTTTCCACTCAGTCACAGGACTGCCTTAACACCCAAATGCTTTTTTCATTTATCTATTTTTATGAGGTTTTGGTTACTATCTAATAAGCGTTGTCCATTTCCTTTATCTTGACAATTTTGTGAGTAATTTTTTGAAATCTCTTTTGAAAAAAATTAAATTATTTTATATTCTAAATGACTTAGGACTTATATATCTTGATTTTTAATAGAGTTAAACTCTCTGGTATGTATCACATCTTGTCTTCTCATCTAGTCTTTATTTGAATGCTGTTGGAGCTAAACATCATCATCCCGATGGCAGGAGTAAGTAAAGAGAAAATTTGACAGAGGGGACAGGATCACTGAGTTTAGGGAGAAAATGATTACCTTCCTTTTAATATATATATTTTTTAAATAGGATAGATTTAGACGTACAAAAAATCATGAAGTTAGTACACAGAGTTCCCACATACTCCATATACAGTTTCCCTTATTATTATTATTTTACATTAGTACAGTATATTTATCACAATGAGTGCAACAATCAATATTCATACATGATTGTTAACCAGATCTCATACTTTATTCAAATTTTCTTTGTTTTTACCTAATGTTCTTCATCTGTTACAGGATATCACCCAGGATACTACATTACACTGAGTTGTCATATGTCCTTAGGCTGCTCTATACTGTGACAGTTTCCTCTTTCACATTTAGTTATATATCTCTTTATTCCCTGGCACTGTCCTAGACACTTTACATATATTATCTCATGATTCTCAGAGTAAATAAGAGAAGTGGAATTAGCTTTGTTTGCTACTAGAAAATTAAACAATTTTTTCCAACATTACATTATTATTGAATGATGAAACCAAGAATGAAACTCAGGCTTCTGGGTTTCTAAAATCCATGCTCTTGTCCTACTCTTTGTATCTGTGGCACCTAGCACTGTACCTGCTGCATTTGCATGAGTTTTTATGTCTGAACTATATTTCACTCAACCGATTTCTTAACCCTGAGACTATTAATATCACCTTTGTTGTAGGGGCTGTTCTGTGATTGTAGGATGTTTAATAGCATCCCTGGCCCCTACTCACTAGATGCTGGGAGTACTCTCATCTTTCAGCCCATTCTCCACCAGTTTCCCAGTTATAATAACCAAAATTGTCTCCAGACTTTGTCAAATGTGCTATAGTGGGTGAATAGTTCTTTAAAAATGTTTTTAGTAGATTGCAATAATCTATAACTAACATGTATTGGATAATCTTTTGTACCAAGTTGAAATAATCTATAAGGCAACTAATTAAATTGAATTTTTAAAAACTATGGAAACATTTGAAAGAAATGCATTAGATTATTGTTTCTTAAATCCCTAGCCCACTGCTTCTTACTTCTTAAACTTTTGGAAAGTTTTTGCGGAACGATATGGACCATTTGAATTTTATTTTTTCAGCCTAGTCTAAAGACCTAGAATGAAAAGAAAATGATCAAATATTCATTTAGATATATTGTGTTTTAGTAATTCTGGGTTTGTTTACCTTACATTGGGGACCAATTTTGTAATGTGTATATTGATCTACTTTGAATGATTTGAATATATTCTCACTATTAGAAGTGATTATAGAAAAATATGTTTTTACCCATAAGTAGTTTTCACAGCAGGGCCATAATTGATGCTCACTGTATGGATGATGGCTGATAATGATTATCCCCTTGTAACTTTTGAATAAATGTAATTTACTTGATGTATCTGCTTTATGACTTGATTTTTAGGGAATTATTATAATAGGTTGATTATTTGCTGTGCATCCTTAGAGACAGAGATGATTTTAATAGTATTGCAAATGTTAGTGTTTGATACTGTTTTATTATAGAAGTTTAACTCGTTACAAATTTTTTTGATTGAGTTCAGATGTGTAGGAACGTCTTTGCTTTTGAAAAAAATAGCTATTGTTTTCAAGTAAAAAAAAAAAAGTCTGCTTAAAAAGTGAATGTTAACTATCCTAGAATTATATAGTGCTTAAGAGCATGTGTATGAGCTACAGATCTTGCTGTAACAATGTCTAAGCTTCTTGTTGGGCCACTTTGCTAAAGCTTTGTATCTGATGGGATCCAATTTGTCTGTACGCTTTATTTCTTACTTATATGTCTGACCCCTTTTATTGATTGTTCATATCCAAATGGAGAAAACTATAATTTCAGTTTCTGCAATCCTAAAACCATTAACTTATACCCAAAACTAATCTTAAACATAGTGTTGAACGTTTGTATTTGTTGAAGAAACAATTCTACAATGGTGAAGTCTCCAGTGTTATCACAGCTAAATATAAGACTCTGATTCCTTGGACATGATATTCAAAAAATACTTTACCAGGTAGAAATGCACCAGCATTAGGATGTAGATAGTTAGAGATTTTAAAGGGTGAGTTTTCCTGATCATATGCAAGTGTGATTTGAAGACAAGCTGAAGTTTACATTCTGATTGCTAGATTTATCTAAAATGTAAAATGAATTCTTTGTTCTCTTGAATCCTGCTAAGAAATAACACATAACCTTATCGGGCCATGTTTTCTTGTACACATATTCAATTTGTTATGGAAACACCAGGGGTTTGGTCTAGGTCCTGCTGTTAGCTGCCTAGGAAGCCAGTCACTGACACAATGAGTATTGCCAAGAAAGAAGGCTGTAATCAGGTGCTGCAGTTGAGGAGATGGGATATCAGTCTCAAATCCATCTCCCTGAACAACTAAAATTAGGGGTTTATATAGCAGGGAAGAAATGTAACTATGTGTGGGAAAACAGGAGCTAGAAAGGGGTAAGGAAGCAATCGTGATGAATGATGTATCTGCCATCTCAATGTCTGCATGTGGTGATCTGGTGAGTTTCACTCCTTTGATACTGTGAGAGGCCTGAGGGTCATTTCATAAGGAAGGAGCTCAGATAAAACAAATGTAAGTTTTAAGCTGTAAGACCAGAAGGGTCAATTTCTATGTTTACTAAATAAATAAATAAATAAAAAATAAACAAAAAATACTGTCTTGGAACTGTTGAGGTTGTTTCAATTTCAACTCTTATTTGGTCTTAGATGCTTACAAGTAAGTAGCCTTCAGCCAACATGTGGGGAATCTGTGTTCATCTGGTAAAGTCAGTATTGAAACCAAAACCAAAACAAAAAACAAACAAAAACAGGTTACCTGAGTAGGTTTTGGCAGCCTGTGTATTTGTCACATCGAAGGCTCGTTATTTACTAAAGTATCTGTATGAACATGATCTAGTTTGCACTTGTGAGTGGTGTTGGTAGAGGGGACATATACGAAGATTTAATTGTTGGTAATTATAGTGAGAACAGAGGGGACTTGAAATTGCTGAACTGTCTCATGCCTGGAGGACTCTGGAAACATTGTGTGGCATGCAGGTATGTACTGTTCTGTACTATTATGTTCTTAAATTATTTGTAGTGTTATTCAGTCTGAAAAACTTCCTAATTTCCAAATATATGCAGCAGTTTAATATGGGAAAATTTATTCTGTACCTTTAAATTAGCTTTTTCCATGTCATTAAGACTTTATATTTGTTCTCATTTTTACCCCTTTCAGTTGTCTTAGTGATCTCAAATTAATAAGTGTCTCAGCCTTGTCTAAGGATTTCTATGATAACCTACTTGTAGCTTAGGTATTAACATTAAAGATGAGCTCTATAAATAATATCACTGGCCTGTTTCTATGAGTTTGAATCTTGCCTGTGTTTTTTTTTTTTTTTCCCCTGTCTTACTTCTTCTACTTGTGTACTATAGCAGGTATTTTAATATCAGTTTTTGGTATCCAACCTTATTTTAGGATGGTAACCATCCTAAAATAAATATTAAATATTTTTAAATAGCTTGGTTGAGAGTTCATACATCTCAGATTCATTTAATTTCTTCTAATATCTTCGACTCTGTTAAAGTCATTTTACTTAACCCAAGTCTCCAATGAGAAGTTAACATAAAAACTATATGGTGGCTGACTTCTAATGTTTAAGTATTATAAAAAGTTACTACGTATTTTCTAGGTAGGTGACAGAAGTGTTTTGGACTGAACGTTTTTGTCTCTGCACAATTTACGTATTGAAGACTGAACTCACAGTCTGGCTATATTTGGAGATGAGGCCATTAAAGAAGTAATTAAGTTAAACGGGATCATAAATGTGGAGCCCTGATCTGATAAGAATAGTGTCCTTATAAGAAGAGATATCAGATCATCCCCCCACTCTCAGTGGGTGAGCCAAAGAAAGGTGCTCTGTGGGAACATAGTGAGAAGGCAAATCTACAAGCCAGTAAGAGAACCCTCACCAGAAACCAAATTGGCTAAAATCTTAATCTTGGACTTCCCAGCCTCCAGAACTTTAAGAAAATAAAATTCCGTTGTTTTAGCCACTCATTATATGGTATTTTGTTATTGCATCCCAAGGAAGACCAATACGTGAGGGCAAGTTTGTTTATCTCACTGAGCCTTAAGTTTCTCCAAATAAGACTGTTAATAACTGTTTCACAGAAAAGTTCATTACATTAAATGAGAAAAGACCAAGTCTATCACATTGTATTACTCAAATGTTAGCTATTATTAAGAAAATAATAAATAATAAAATGAAGACTTGAGCATGCACTGAATGCATTTAAATCTCACTTATAACCTCCGGTATTGATATGGGAGTGCTGGGAGGGGAAGAGCGTTGTCCCTTTAAAAGATACAGAAGGGAGGAAGGGAAGTGCTGGGGAGAGGAGGGTGTGGTCCCTGGCTAGGGCTCTACCCCACAGATCTAGGTGAGAAGAGGCAGTTTGTTTTCCTACCCAAATGTTGCATTTCCCAAGACCACCTTGGCCTGCCATGCCGCCATTCTGTGCCTATAAAAACCCGAGACCCTAACAAGGCAGAGATAGAAACAGCTAGACATTGAGAGAAACACATCGGCAGGGGAACCCACAAGTGGCTAGACATTGAGAGGAATGCATTGACAGGTACCTGGATGCTGGCAGGCCATTGACTGGCAGAATGACCCGGAGTTTGGGTGGGGCAGTTGGAGGAGCGCTTGGCCGCTGAGCGGCCGGACTTCAGGGGAAAACCATCTCCCTCTGGCTCCCCCATCTGGATGAGAGCTACTTTTACTCAATAAAACCTACTCATTCTTCAAGCCACGTGTGATTTGATTATTCCAGTACACCAAGGCAAGAACTCAGGATACAGAAAGCCTTCTGTCCTCATGACAAGGTAGAGGGTCTAAGTGAGCTGCTTAACACAAGCCACCTACGGATGGCTAAACTAAAAGAGCAGCCTCTAACACATGCCCACTGGGGCTTCAGGAGCTGTAAACATTCACCCTTAGACACTGCCGTGGGGTCGCAGCCTCACAGCCTGCCTGTCTGTATGCTCCCCTTGAGGTTTGAGCAGCTGGGCACTGAAGAAGCCAGCCACGCCCACATCGCACACCCTGTGAGGGGAACAAGGGAACTTTTATCGTTTCAGTATTTTAAAAAATTAAGTTAGTTGCTAACTAACAGTTATTGTGGCTGAAGGTAGTACTATCCTGTTCCTGGGTTTTGGACACCAGGGATGACCTGGATTAGTTTTGAGATCTTATCAAACGCCACCCCTGGCTCTTTTCAGGAGAAACTAAATGCCGTATGAGTTGTAAACTTACTTTCAACTCGGTTTCTAGTTAAGTTCGCCATAATTCAGTTCTTAAAACTGATGCAGGGCATGAAAGCCCGAAGTGGGGCTTAGCTCACAAGATTTCTTGGCTTTGCCCAGGAAAGGATTCAAGGGCAAGCCAGAGGCAGAAAAAAACAGCCTTATTGAAGAGGCAGTGTTACAGCTCCAGTGGTGTTACAGGTCTGTGACTGCTCCTGCAGAGCAGGGCTACCCTGTAGGCAGAGATGCATAGCAGCTCAGGAGAGTTTTGCAGTCATATGTAATCTGCATGTAATTAAAAGTGGATATAAAGGGTGGTTAGGTAAAGGGTAGTAACTTTTGAGTCATTGGCTCATTGCCATGGAAAGGGGTGGTAACTCCCAGGGGTTGCCCTGGCAATGATAAATTGACATAGCACACTGGTGGCAGTGTCTGATTGACACTCATATTTCTGCCAATTCATCCTCAGTCTGGCCTGGTGTCCTAGCCCCACCTCTGGAGTCTAGTTCTGCCACCTACCTCATTCTCCCTCAGAGATTAGATTCTCCTTAATCTTAAGGGGCTGCAGAAAGGTGGAGGTCCATGGGCATACGTCCTGCCCAGCACCGGAGGAGTAAAAATCTCTGGATACCTGATCTAAGGGGCCCAGAGGCAGGATGGTTTTAATTCTTCAGGTCAGTAGATGTGATGGTTTGGAAGCTTCTTGCAAGCATTGTTTTTACCTGGAACTGTTTAATCTAGAAGACACAAATTTTACTAAGAAGTTAAACAAGAAAGAACCAAAACTTAGTAACAACAAGATGGCTGTCAAAAGATCTTAGGAGTGGTAAAAACCAGGTGAGACTTGGGAAGACACTTTTGATAGCTGACTGGCTATATTTGGGATCAGTGCCATGGTTATGACTATGTAACTAGGTAGCTTGGTCACAGATCTTTTGAATGCTAATCTCACCTTGTCCAGAGTTTTTAATATATGTGCAGCAGATTTTGTTAATAACTACACAGACTCCGCCATGTTCAGCTAGTAAATAAACCAGTGTAGTCTGTTATCGAGAACTACATTTGCCAGAATCTAAAGACTCTTGAGTTCCCTTTAATGCCTGACCTGTGTCAGTGGCTCAGGCTTCCAGGGTTTGAGTCAAGTTCCTTAGGGTTAACTCATGGTAGGCAAAGCTGCCTCAGGGTACTGCTAGTCCTATCACTGCCCAGGTTCCTGACAGAACTAATCCTATTGCTTGCTTACTTCCGGTATGTTTGTGTCTTATGGGATTATAGACAGTGACCTCTGGAGGGGCAAGGGTGGCCAACAAATATTCACTTCTGCTCCAAGTTTTTGATATACAAGGGAAAGCTACTACTAAGAGAACAGGTGATTCTCTATGGAGTTGGGAGCAGTTACAGGCTGTGACATCTTCCCATTTATTGCCACAAACAAAAATATGCCGAGTTGGGACACAAAAGCTCTATAGGTTGTGATGTTTATTCTTTACTGCCAAGTTGGGTCTATAGAGATGTTTTTCTCCCATTCTAATGGGGTGGTCAGACAATCTTCGTTTTCTAGAAGGTGTAGTACTCCCACCTTTCCAAACTAGGCAACTGTTTTTTTCTTGTGTTTTCTGGTCCGGAAGAAGGCACCGCACATGGTCTCCTTGCTGACAAGTGGAATCTCATTTACCTTGCTGCAGCCTTGGGAACTTGGCAACTGAAGTTGGATGAGAGCACTGAAGGGAAGCTTCCACTTTTGTGTCATTAATGCAATAGTGGGTTAAAAAGGTAGAATGATTAGTGCATTGGAGATAGAGATACCCAGCTTTCCACATCCAGGAAATAGTGGTGGTGTTGGCGGGGTGTTCAGGTGGAGTCCATTAAGTGGGGAAGAGTTCCATTTAACAAGTAGAAGTTTGGATATTTTGGGATTGCTATGGTTAGTTAGGAGGTCTGGGGGAATGGTCATATTTTCCAGATAAACCAGAAGATAAAATTCTGTATCCTGGGAATGTTGATGATAAAACCAACAAATAAGATGATTCCCTGATGCAATAATTGTTGAAATATTTACTATAGAGTTATGTCCCCACCCATACTGGATCATGGTAATTGGGAGAACGAACAAGATGAACAGTGACAACATGGTTTTAAGATGGGCCTTAGTGTGGCTTCTACACCCAACAAGGACAAAGGAGGTGTTTCCCTTGAGATTAGCTAAAGCTACAGAAAGGAAGTATTACACTCAGGAAGAAGAGAAAAACTAAAGTTCCTATTCCCACCCACAGTATCACGTTACCACTTCTGGCTGAATGTTGATGTTTTAAAAATAGGTAGCCAAGGTCTTCCAAAGGCTCACAGCTGTAGGTTTTGGTGCCCTCCTTTTGTGCCTGTGACTCCTAAGAAACAGGTTTAATCCTGGACAAATATACCCAACTAGTTATTCCCTGAAATTTAATAGCAGTGGGGGTACTCAACAAAACCTGAAAGGGACCCTTCCATTTCGGTTGTAATTGATCTTTAGGAGATCCTTCTTTCCAAGTTTTTAGCAAGACTAAGTCTCCTGATTGAATAGATGAGCTTTTTCTTCCTTTGCGGGGAATGCAGTATTTTATTTTTATATGGGAAAGCTTTCAGAACATTGCCTACATTCTAAAGGTGAGGGAAAAGGTTTGTAGAACTAGTTACTACAAGCCAATACCACAGCAGCTAAATCCAGAATCAATGGAGAAGTCAGTTTTAGAACCTCATTTCCTGACTCCTAGTTTTTGGCTCCCTCACTGCTCTAAATGGGTTCAAGAGGCAATGAGTGTCCACCCACTTCTACTCTTGTCCAGCCCAGAACATCCAACTGGCTACAATTCCCCTGACTCCAAGTCCCCCAGCCAGGGGTTGCAGGTATTACTGAGGGATACAAAGAACCTAGGGTAGGCAGCACGCTACTGTAGCACAGGCACAGGACAAAATAAAAGCTTGGCCATCAACACTACCTCTGGCACACTCTTATTAAAAGGGGGAATATAAAACAAAAACCATAGATCAAAAGGAATGGAGTTGGGCAGATACCCATTAGTCACCAGAACCCTTTTAAGCAATATAAAAGTCAAAAACCAAAAGCCAAAATAATGGCACACATCAAGGAAAACAATGAGCATAGAATTAAGCTATATTGGGAGAAAACAGTGGTCCCATAGACTAAGACAAAACAGTTTAGCATCAGGCTATAGCAGCAGTCATAATTAGAGGAGAAAAGCTCACAGGAGCTGACAGAAATGCTAAAGGAAAGAGTTCCATGAATCTGAGAAGCTCTTACATAGATTGTGTGATTGAAAGGCAACATTTCTAGTAATTTAGCAAATTAATACCTTAAGAAAATTTGTTTCTGATATATAGACCGATTTGTAGAATGTCAACCACAATTTTCTTTTATCATAGCAAATTTAATTATACACAAAATTTCTTTCATAAATCGCCCTTTATGAACTGTATCATAACTTACGCAGACGATCTACAACATTCTTGAACTTTGGACTTGTCCTATACTACCTCTTTCTTAACCAGCAATTTCACTCTAGGACAATAATTTACTACAGAAGATCCCTCCTCATATTAAATTATTCTTTCTTTATATACTTCCTTGCAAAACAATACATTTTCTATCCATTACAATCTTTATAACTCTTTTATCTACTTACTGGCTCTCTCACATTTTCAGCCTCCCTTTTAATAACTTCTGAATTAGAAAAAAAAAATTCCCATTAAAGAAAACAGTTCTTTGGCATATTTTATATAACCCCAAGTAAGACTTAGCTCTGAAGTGTCCATCAGACACTGGCATTCTATAGATGAGAACCGTTCTACCATTTTAATATTTAAGACCATTTTAAGAACCACACAGTAATTTCATTTTTTATGCATCTATTCCATTTACATGTATTTGACTTTTTCACTTTTAACAGTTTTATCTAGACCACCTCTAAGAACCAGTATACTATGCACAGCTAGTCACCATTTAAAGCCATTTGAAACATTTAAAGCCTATGAAAAATAGTTGATTTACCTACATAAAAATCTTAAGGTTAAATTTCAGAAGAAATAACATTCTCTTCAAACTAATAAGCTTTGACTAGTCTTATTTATGAATGCTCTTCTGTTTATAAGCCAATTTGATAGCATGCTGGATACGCCATATATCACAATACCTGTATATACACCTAAACGAGCACATTAAATAAAATGACCTATACAAGACAAATAGATTCAAATTATTTACATAATTAAGAACTGTTTACCTGGTCAAATTTTGTTTGCCACAATAAATATAGAAAACATGAAGAGGCAGGGAAGGGGATCCCAGGGCATCAAATAAACAAAGGAGGGGGCAAACTGCATTGCTCAAGGGGAGACCCAAGAGTTGCCAAGCGACAGAGAGCTCATCCAGCAATGGAGATATTGAAGAAAAATATTTGGGCAGCTGTTTGCCTGCCACTGTAGGAAGCTGTCTGCTGGGTCAACGGTCTAAGACTCTCAGTAAGCTTACTTGTTCAAGGCAGCTTGTTGGGGCTAGTGGAAGAAGGTTAGCTCTAGTACTGATGGGACACTATTTTTCCTCTCTCTCACCAGAGACAGTTAGGACATTCTCATTGTCAATGGCCATCTTGCTCACAGTAGGCACACTAATTTTGATCTGGGGGTCAGTGAGTTGGTGGCTCTTGTCTGGGCATCCCAGACACCACTTTCATGACATTTTCTTAAGATGGGTAACCTTCAGTGGGGAAGGTGCATAAAACAACTGTTATCAATTATACTTTTTGGCTATTTCTTTTGGTCTTTTTGTTTTTTTCTCTTTTGCCTTGTCCCTACTGTTGTGAACTTTAACTACTACATTTAAAAGTTGTCTCATAGGTGTATGAAGTCTCATGGTTGCTTTTGGGAGCTTCCTTCTAATGTCAGGGACAGATTGAATAATGTATACCCAGGTGAGCTTGCCCTTCTGCAGAGTCAGGGTCTGTGTTAGTGTATTTCCTTAATGCCTCAACCAAATGACCCTGAAAGAAAGGGGATTTTCATCTTTGCCCTGAGTTATTTCTCTAACCTCGTCATAACTGACTGGCTTAATCACACAGTTTTTCTCTTGCTTTTTTTTTCACAGCATATCAAACATAATATTTGTAAGTCATGACAAGTTAAACCAAAGAACATGATCAACTTAACAAACTCCTCAGAAAAGCTTTCTGGATTCTCTGAAAACTCCAAATTTTTTCTTTTGTAAAGCCAAATTAGACATGGAAAATGGCTCATAGACTCTAAGTGTTCTCTCACTTCCATTAGCTACCTCCCACAACGGAAACAGGTTTGACAGAGCTGATATGGGGCTCCAGTCCTGGTGGTACTGGTTGGGCTTACTTTCTTAGGCAGCGGGGTTATAGGCTAGGGATAGTTGGATAAGGGAGAGGTGTGCCTGATGACCGTGAGGTGGAATCCTGTATTAAAGAACTGTCAGGAAACCGTCAGAAATGGGGAACTAAGGAGACCCTGGGGAGGGTGTAGCTATTCTAGGGGGAACAACTAGGAATGGATCCACTGGGAATGGCTTTTTGGTGCCTGCAAGTATTGTAAGCCAGCAAAGGACCATAAAACCCTGCACATGAGGAACCTCTTCCCATTTCTCTTCTTTTAAACAAAATAAGTCTAATTGTAAAATATCATTATAACATGTAAAACTATGTTTAGGCAAAATCCGTTGGTTTGCCAATATGTATGCAACCAAGACATTATTGCAGTAGTGAATGAGTTTCTTCTTCTTTTAGCCAAATTTGAATTTGCTCCAATAGCCTAAAAAATACCTCACTGGTGAGTCCTCTGGGGTTCTCCCTGCTGTCCCCATGTTAGTAAGGATCCCTATGGAGGGTTTCAGTTAGACCAAGTTTAGCAAATGCCTACTTATTTTCCCTTTTACTTTCCCACTTTCTATAAATAGCAATATGTTACAAAAGCAGATTATTAGCTTCACATGGGCAGTTGGATGTTAAGCCTAAATTCCACAGAAAGCAGCGGGTTATGCAGAGGGAGGGGCTAAGCAAATGGTGACTCTGGAAGGGAGGATGGGAAGGGTAAATAGCATTGCCCAAGGGGAGACCTCAGAGGCCCTGACTTGCCAGGGAACTTGCCCAGTAGTGGAGACACTGAAAAAAACATATTCAGGTGACCACCTTTCTGCCACTGTAGGTGGCTGTCTGTCAGGCCAGGGGCCTGGAAACTCCCAATTTCTTTAACCAAGAGAGACTTGAGCAAGGCAGTTGTAAGACAGCACACAGGAAGAGGCTAACAACTGGCTATTAGGAAAATAATATTTCTAACTTTGGAGCAGAAAAGGCAAGATCAATATTCCCCTGGAGGAGAGGCTATAATCCACAATCCTAGAGGGAATGTCAATACCTAATCCACAGAGCATCTGGTGGGGTGGAGGTGACCAAAATACCCATGCTGAAAACTTGGAGTGCCCAAGCTTCAGCCAATGAGGATTCCCTCACCAAACACCGAAAACCCTGGGGCACCCAGGGAGCAGCCAACAGTGAACCTAACACCAAGTTGGAGTCACAGAACAATGTGACTCTGGCATTCCAGGGTCAACACAAAGGGGTCCTCACATAACCAAGTGTCCTGCCTTAATTGTCTACACACAATTAGCAGAAAGTTAAGAGAAAACATAAGACTGCACACATTTTGGGACTGAAAATAAAATGACTGATGGAACTAATATGGTTTAGCTCTGTCTCCCCACCCAAATCTCATCTCAAATTTTAATCCCTACGTATTGGAGGAGGAGGCTGGTAGGAGGTGATTGAATCATGAGGACAGATGTTCCCTTTGCTGTTCTCATGATACTGAGTGAGTTCTCACAAGATCTGGTTGTTTGAAAGTGTGTGGCCCTTCCCCCTTCACTCACCCTCTCTCCTGCTTCACCAAGGCAAGACATGCTTACTTCCCCTTTTCCTCCCACCAAGAGTGTAAGTTTCCTGAGGACTCCAAGTCATGCTTTTGGTTGTGCCTGCAGAACTGTAGTCAATTAAGCCTCTTTTTCTTAATAAATTACCCAGTCTTAAGTAGTTCTTTATAGCAGTGTAAGAAGGGACTAATACAGGGACAATACAATGGGGTCAGAAAAGGACCAGGAGAAGGGGTGATAAGAACATGATTTGGGAAATTCAAACAATCATGGATGCCTAACTAATCACCTAGCTGACGGCTTTTACTTTATTCCCTAGTTCTCCTGATACTATGGAGTGGGGGCAGAAGGGAGACTCACTCATTCAGCAGACACAAATGGCATTGACTGATCTTCCATGTGAAGATCTCTCCAAGGTACCTCAACTTGGGTGGCCTCAGCACCTCTGCCATGGTGGGAAGGGCCTGCACTGGACAGTAACCCATCCTGGTCAGAGAGGCAGGTGTCACATGAGGCAGATGGAACTATGGCCACCCCAGGTGTCAGATGGCACTATGGCCACCCTGACCAGCCACCCAGTGGGGCTCAGCTGTCTCAGTTAGAGGAATCTGCATGGATGGTAACCCACTGGACTGCTAGTCAGAGAGGCGAGTGTCACGTAAGACAGATGGCTCTATGGCTGCCCCACCAGTGGGCTCAGCTGCTGTGGTGGGAGAGACCTGTACAGGTCTGTAACCCACTGGGCTGCCTGTCAGAGAGGTGGGTGTCACAGGAGGCAGATGGTACTATGGCTACTTGCCTGTTTGATTTGTTCCACTGTTTGCCAGGGTAAATGATGGCTCTGAAGAGAGCCTTTGGGTAGTGTTAGAGCTCAGGTGATATAGCCCTGATTCTCTGTCTCTCCCCTCCTTGCCTTGCCAACTGCTGCCCTGCCAACCGCTATCCTGCTGACCACTACCCTTGCTGATCACTGACTGCCACTTCTCAAGACGGCCATCCTGCACATCACTGTCCTTACAGGCTGCCACTCCCAGATCACCAATCACTGTCTTCTGTCTTCACCCTGCATCGGGAGTCAAGCTGGTGCAGGGCAGGTGAGCCCCAAAGTGGAGCTTAGTCCGTGAGGGTTCTTGGCTTTACCCAGGGGAGAATTCAAAGGCAAGCCAAAGGTAGAAGAAAACAGCATTACTAAAGAGGCAGTGTTACAGCTCCAGGGGTGTTAACAGCTACGTGACTGTTCTGCAGAGCAGTACTACCCTGTAGGCAGAGTGTAGCAGCTTAGGGCCGTTTTGCGGTCATACTTACACTCACTTTTAATTGCATGCAGATTAAGTGGTGGTTTATCCAGAAATTTTTAGGGAAGGGGTAGTCACTTTTGAGTCATTGGATTATTGCCATGGAACGAGGTGGTAACTCCTGGGTATTGCCACGGCAGTGGTAAATTGACACGGCACACTGGTGGGTGTGTCTGAATGAAAGCCGCTTTAGCCCTGGCCCTGTTTTAGCTGGTCCTCAATCTGAGCCCCACTTCTGGAGTTAAGTCCTGCCTCCTACCTCAAAACTGCTAACATGCTTTTTGGAAGACTGGCAACAGTTATTTTTCTTGTGTTATACTTGTTTATGAAGTATCTGCAATTTAAAAATATTATGATAATTAAAAAAACAAAATCCAACAACATAAAAAATTCTTGTTGATTATTTTAAGCTAAAATTATAGTAATGGGGAAGTGGTAAATTATCCATATGTTTTTGTATTGGAAATATACAAGTAGTAATGACTTTGTGTGCATGTTAGCAATTTTCACGGTAAAGATGTTTAAATTGCTAGTAGCTATGTAACAAAACTATGCTACAAGCAAATACACTTTAGTGGTTCCCTGCATTCCTTATATTTATTGCAATGCAAAAGATAAATTCCAAATGACATACTTAAAATTTATGACTAGTGCATTAAGTGGAGTTTTAATATCATTTAGCAACTTATCTATGCTTTCATCTTACGCATTCTATTTTCTCTATAAAAGTAGGAAGGCAATTTCAAGTAGCAGTGTCTTTATCATAATTCCTCTCAATTCTTTATTATTATAATGGCATGATTGTTTTTCTTTTTAGGTTAATTTAAGGGCAATGATAACTTTAATTTCTCTAGCAAAATATCCTATAAATGAAGGAAGTAATATACTCAACAAAAATCAGAGCTTAAAAGTTTTTACACTGTAACTGTAACTTGAAACAGATAACCAAATTTTGACATACAAATAAAGGCATATTCTGCATTTTTTAAGACAACCACAAAGCTGATGATTAAGTCGTCTCAATTCTATCCGCTTACTAAAATCTATGTCCCATTTTCTTTTTATGTTTTTTTCTTTTCTTTGTAGTTTTGCCAAGTTTCAATTTACTACAGTGAGGAATTATATGATAGTAGCAACATTTTGAAACCTTATTTTATTTCTTTTTGTTTAGCTAAAATCTTGCTTCATTTCTATGCCTACCCTAACTTTGTAGTAGGTGATAATTTCTTATTCAGCAGAAGCCAAATTGTTAATTTACACTGTTTACAAAGTATTTAACCCGTAAGCCTGTATAAACAGGCAGCTAAAAACTGGTTTATTGGTAAAAAATACATATATAAGGCATTCATAAAACATATATATGTTAGTGCCTGCTAAATGCCTTGACATCACGTAGACCATGAGGTCAAATCCCAGTACTGCCTTTTACAATACAATGTTTGGAAATTTTGTTTTACCTCTATAAATCTGTTTTCCATCTCTCAAATGGAGATGATATCTACCTCATAGGGTTGCTATGAAGACTAAATAATTTATATAAGGCAAAAATAGAGTGCCTTGTGCATAACTGGTAACTGCTACAAGGTCTTACCTGTTTTGGCCCTGTCTTTACCCTAAGCCATACATCCATTACCTCTAGGATTTAACTTCCTACCATTTTCTCCCTTACTCTTACCACTCAGGCCCTGCAGGATTCCCTCCTGTTGGGTCACCACAAACTCCCCTCTCTGAAGGCCCTTTCCTCCTTCTGTTTGTTGCCTAGATGTCTGCAGGACTGGCTTCTTCCTGTTAGTCAGATTTCTGTTTAGATATCACCTTATCAGAGAGGTCTTTTCTGACTTCTATCTAAAATATCTTTCTCTTTCTTACCTTACTTTATTTTCTTCCTAGTACTGATCTAACACATCTTTATTGATTTTTATTGTTTACATCCTTCCATAGCGTGAAAGTCCATAAAGAACAAGCGCTTTATTTTGTTCATGATTGTATCCTAGCACATGGAATATCATTTGTCATATAACAGGGATTATGCTTTTTAATAAACTGCTATTAATGTATTTGGAAAAGACCAAAAACCTGTATTTGAAAATAGTTGCAGCCTTTATAGATTCATGATACCTTACCAAGGCAGTATCAATTAGGCAAAAAACGGACCCTCTTCACCTTCCAGGTTTATGTATAGTAGATTGTTTTGGAGATATTGGCAGGATTTTGTCTGTGTTTGTGTGTTTTTAAATGTGATGCTGACTGGCCATGTTATTCTGTAAACAGTAAATGTAGCTAAAATCAGAATCTGGCAGTAATTTTGATAAAGTAGAGTGAATTTTTGTCTACTGCAAATTTTTTCTGTCCTAGAATTTTTGTTTGTTTCTATTAAACATAAAAGATAATCAACAAAATTTGGGTTATCTGTTTCAAGTTACCTACACTATAAAAATGTCAGTGAGTTTACATAAAGTGATTTGAGGATACAGAAATGTGGAAAGCAGTCAAGAGGAAGCTTGAGGGGCAGGTGGAAACCAGTGTGCAAAGCACTTTTTTTTTTTTTTTTTTTTTTTGGAGACGGAGTTTCACTCCTGTTGCCCAGGCTGGAGTACAGTGACACGACCTTGGCTCACCACAACCTCCTCCTCCTGGGTTCAAGCGATTCTCCTGCCTCAGCCTCCCGAGTAGCTGGGATTACAGGCATGTGCCACTACACCCGGCTAATTTTGTATTTTTAGTAGAGAAGGGATTTCTCCATGTTGGTCAGGCTGGTCTCGAACTCCAGACCTCAGGTGATCCACACGCCTTGGCCTCCCAAAGTGCTGGGATTACAGGTGCGAGCCACCACGCTGGGCCAAAGCACTTTCTATGATACATTAAGGCTTTGGATTTTATTCTACAAATGTTGGGGAAGCCATAGCCATAAAAGGATTTTTAGCCTAATGAGATTCTATTTGTAAAAAGCCATCCTGGCAGCAGTATGGACAGTCCACAGGGGAGAGCTAGTTAGGAGTATATTGCAATATTACAGTCTACAGAAGAGGAAGACTTGAAAAAATTAATAACATACTAATTATTGGCCTCTGCATATATAACAGGAAGCTTACTGTTCTATTAAAATTTAAGTGACAGTTCTACTACCTAAATTGACATATGAAGAAACTTTAAAATTATCTAAATTTTATAATTTGGAATCATCATCAGTGATGGCAATTACCTTAAAAAGCATCTTATTATGTACTTGATGCAGCTGATGCTGAGAGGTGACATGACCTACTTAACATAATACAGTTAAGTCATGACAGAGGTACTTGTCTTTATGGTCATGTGTGGGGTTTTCCAGAGAAACAGAATCAATAAGTTATGTGAAAGGGCATTTATTAGAGGAAATTCACATTGTTACAGAGGTGAAGAAAGTATCATGTTAGGCCATCCACAAGCTGGAAAACCAGAGAATCAGTAGCATGGCTCAATCTGGAAACCTCAGAACCAGAGAAGCCAAAAATGCAGCCCTTAATCTGAGGCCAACAGCCTGCAGGGAGCTGCTGGTGCAAACCCCAGAGTTCAGAAGCCAAAGAACTTAGAGTCTATGTCCAAGAGCAGGAGGAGAAAAGGCTCTGGAAGACAGAGAGAGGGCAAAAAGAGAATCGCCCTTCTTCTGCCTGGCTGTCCCAGCCAGATCACCAGCCAATTGTATGGTGTCTGCCCACATGAAGGGTAGCTCTTTCTTTTAGTCTACTGACTCAAACAGCAATGTTCTCTGGAAACACTGCCACAGAAATATCCAGAAGCAGTGCTTCACCAGCATCTGTTACTCCAGCCAAATTGACACATAAAATTATCCATCACAAGTCCACCTCTTGTCAACATGACACCTATATGCATCTTCGTAAAGCATAGTTAATTCTGAATAAAGCCAATGACAAGGTCATAATTACACCTAACACAATATAACTATCCTGTGTACAACCCAAAACATGCCAATTCTTTTCCCAGAAGGAGGTAAAGTTCTTGAGTGAGGTTTACTTTTCTATTGACGTCCTATAACTTAAATATTAAGACATAAAGTTGACAATACTTAAGTAGTGATAAAAAGTCAGTAAGTCTTAAGTTCCTTTATAAACAAATAAGAGAAAAATCAAAGATATTTATTTAATACGTATGTATAGATACACAAACATCTTAACAAAACAGTGAGGAAATACTTATTACAATTAAAGTCCTCATTTTTTTAACTGGCCATGTGATTGTAGCTTGTATTTGTAACCACTTTCTACTATCCATTCTATTTCCCCCTTTTCTTCAGCAAGCATCTCATCTGGTCATGGTTCTTTACCTGGTGAAGTGTCCCAAATCTTCATTCCTGAAGGGTCTGAGCCATTAGTTCTGCCTGGATTGGAGTATTGTTGTTTCCCATTGAACTGAGTTACAGGGCATGGTTATATTAAGAAACACTGTCAGGGATCTTCTGTGTTCCAGAGTTACTCTTCCTTATCTCCATTGTAGAGCAATGGTTCGATTTCCCCTTGGTTTCCTGAATCAATCTCTCCAGCCAACAACATTACTTTCTTCTTAGCCTATTGGCTCAGAGGCATAGAGCCTGAAGTGGCCTGTGGCAATCTTCCAGTTCAATGGAATAATTGTTGTTTTTCCTAGTGGGAGCTTCCCTCCCTCTGGAAGTAAGATCTCAAGGTCAGCAGAACATGTCATAGGGTCAGGAAGGAAAAATTTTACTAGTGGGTCCCTAGGGTTCATGGTGAGTGGTACCACTCCCATTTTCATCCCTTGATTCCTAGATCCTTGAATCCTCGCTATGGGAGAGACAGCACCATATCTGATTCAGAGAATATAGAGCCATCTGGAGAGCCTTGCTCCAGTCCTGCAAAGCATTGTCACCTCTCTGGTGCTTTAACTCTGACTTCAAAAGGCCTTTCTATCATTCTGTCAGGCCACCTGCTTCAGAGTGCTGGGGATCATGGTAAGACCGGTGAATTCCATGTGCATGAGACCATTCCTGCATCATTTTTTGCTGTAAAGTGAGTTTTTTGGCCAGAAACAATGCTGTGTGGGCTTCTGTGATGGTGGGTAAGTGTGCAGATAATAGTTTTGACTGAAACATTGTTTGCAGGGAAGGGAAATCCATTTCCAGAGTAAATGACTATTCCAGTGAGGACAAAATGCTTACTCCTTTCATGATGAAGTTGGTACAGTGTATTCAACCTGCCACCAGGTAGCTGGGTGATCACCCTAAGGAATAATGGCATAGTCAGGGCTTAATGTTGGTCTCTGCTGCTGGCGGATTAGGCATTCAGTGATAGCCACTTCAGCTTTGGTGACTGGAAGTTCACATTGCTGAAGCCGTGCATGGCTTTCACCCCTGCAACTTTGGTCACTTTGTTCATAAGCCCATTGGGTAATGATTAGTGTGACCAAAGGAAGAGGCTAACTGGTACCCACAGAAGGGGTCATCCTATCTACTTGATTATTAAAAGTATTCTCTACTGAGATCACCCTTTGGAGAGTTTTCCCATGAGATATAGGTACCTTTTGCCCACTCAGACTCTACATTACTCTTCCCAAATTTCTGTCACTAATTTCCCAATTATGTTATTTTCAAGTCCTTGACCATCCAGCCAAACCATAATTGCACATATGGCCATTTCTTCTTCCAAGCCAAGTGTGAAACCAGGTGCACTGGCCAAAATTTTGCCACTGAGAGTTCTCTTGACCAGTGTCCTTCAGGGATGTCTCATAATGGGGTTGCAGTGCTGGGTTTATCCATCTGTAAACCAGGCCCTAGTCTTCTTTACCTTTCTCAGCTATTCCAATGACACCATAGGTGCAGGCCGGGAAAAGAAGGCAGGGTATTATGGGAAGGAACCATGGGCATTTTGGCCACCTTTTCATGTAACTTGTGCCTTCAGGACCTGCTCAGAGTGCTGCTGTGCATGTCACCTTTATGGCCTGGTGGGTCATATGGCACCCAATGTATGATGGGCAGCTCAGGTCACATGGTATCTTGGTGGCCTGTGGTCAAGTTGTCAGTTTTATGAAGATCCAGTAGCAGGCCAAGATCTGTCTTTCAAAAGGAAAGTAGTTAACTCTAGACGATGGCAAGGACTTGCTCCAAAATCCTCTGCTGTGATTCACCTACAGTGCCATATGATCTAGCAGATATAGTGGTACATGAGGTGTCAGTGACAGGCATGCTGTTTATATCTGTCTGCCACTTACACTTCACTTACCATTGTATCTGCTAGATCATATGGCCCAAGTGGCAGATCACCTTTTACAGCAGCTTGGATCTATTGCTGAGCCTTCTCCTGTTTTGGATCTCACTCAAAACTAGGAGCTTTTGGATCACTTGATAAATGGGCTGGAGTAGCACACACAAATAAGGAATTTTTTGCTTCCAAAATCCAAATAGGCCCAGTAGGCACTGTGTCTTTTTCTTGGTTGTAGGAGGGGCCAGGTCCAACAACTTATATTTCACATTAGATGAGCTATCTGGACATGCCTCATGCCATGAGATTCCTAGAAATTTTACTGAAGTAAAAGACCTCTGAATTTTGTTAGCTGGACTTATTTCTCTACCCTCTGACACACAAATCTTTTACTAATAACTCCAGAGCAGTTGCTACTTTTTGCTCACTAGGTCTAATCAGCATAATGTCATTAATGTAATGGACCAGTGTGGTCCATTACTTCTTGTGGAAGGGAAAGGCAATCAAGGCCCCTGCAAACTAAATTATAACATAGGGCTGGAGAGTTGATATACTCTAAGATAGGACAAGTGAAGGTATATTTCTGGCCTTGCTGGCTGAAAGCAAACTGCTTCTGGTGGGCCTTATGGACAGGGATTGTGAGAAAGGCATTTGCCAGATCAAGAGCTGCATATCAGTACCAGGAGACGTGTTAATTTGCCCAAACGATGAAACCACATCTGGTACAGCAGCTGCCATTGAAGTCGTCACTTGGTTGAGCTTACAATAGAGTTAGTGGGGAACATCATCCCATGTCATTCTAGTCCTTGGTGGTGGTACTAATCTCTGTCATCCCTTCAGGGGTGCAGTATTTTCAGTTTACTATTTTCTTAGGTAGAGTCTGCTCTAATGCCTTCCATTTGGCTTTTCTCATCATAATATCCCTCATCTCCACACGTTAGGGAACCAGTGAGGGAATTCTGGCAGCTGATAAATACGTTTATTCCAATTATACATTCTGGAACTGTGGAAATGACCACAGGATAGGTTTGGAGACCCACTGTTCCAACTGTAAGCCATACTGGAACTAAAACTCCACTGATCACCTTACCTCCAAAAGCCCTTACCCTGATTGGAGGCCACAGTGATGTTTTCTGTGTTCTGGAATCAGTATGAATTCAGAGCCAGTGTCAAGAAGTCCTCAGAATGTCTGATTGTTTCCCTTTTTTCAATGCACAGTTACCTTGGTAAAATGCTGGAGGTCCCTTTGGGTGAGGATTTGGACAAAAATTAACAGTATAAATTTTCAGTATTGTACCCAGGTCCTTCTTTAAGGACTTCCCTTTCATTTAGAGGTCTGCAAGCTGGCTCAAGTCTGGAAATTGATTGAAAGGCCATGATCTCTGTTATCCTTTGAGTTAGACTTTTGTTCACTTGAACTGGGAGTTTTCTGCTTACACAGATCAAGTAAGAATGCAGTAGGGTTCTCATCTGTTTCACTTCTAGCAACATTATGTTTATTAGCTAGCATCATAGGTCTGAATGAGTCAGAATATTTTAACTGTTCCTTTGCCTCTACTGTTTATTTTGCTAACTATACCCACCTTGCCTTAGGTGGCTGAGTACTGCCACCTGGGCCCTGCTACCCAGAAATAAAATTACATCCACTAGATGTAAGCTTTCCAATTGAGTGACTGCAGTTCCCATTGTAAAGTCTAGCATATAGAAAAGAACAGTCATAGAGCGCTTCAAGGATGTTGGTAGTCTCCTCATCAATCTATTTCTCAAAGTATTGGTGAAAATCATATCTTCTGAACTCTCCCAGTGTGGTTGGGTAGGTTTTATGTGACAAAGCTGCTCTAACATTCCAATCTCCGCAAGCCTTTGAATCCCTTTCCTTACATTAAAACAAGAGAGATCAGGCATCTTCATCTTACCCATGTCGGGCCACTTTTGATCCGCATTTTGGCTAAGCAACTAAAGTATTAGCATCTTTTTTGAACTCCCTGAGCTACAACATTAAATGCAGAATCTTTGCTTAGTGGGTCCATATCAATAAATTCAGGCTAATCCAATTTTATGTTTTTTTCCACCATTACTCACACTCTTAATATCCATTGCCACATAAGCTCCATGGATCTCTGAATGTATAAATTAGAAAACTTAAGTAGTTATTCTGGAGTGTAGCATACCTTCTTATGAATTATACTGTGCACCACACCTTTGAGTGTCTGCTGGGACTTGAGTGTAGTTATAGGTCTAGAAGCAAAAAGGGGTGGTGGAGATGGGTCCTGAAGAAAAGAAGCATTGTGTTGCTTGGTGAGTGAATTGGGAAGCCATTACCGTTTCCCTAGGAAATGCATGGTTAATTCCCTCAGAAAGAAGTAGAAAGGCTAATACCACTGGGGATGGTATTGGAGGTGGGGAGGCTACTTCCTCTGGCAAAAAACACTAATAAAAATTTAGAAGCCCAATGTCTGCAGCGTCATAATTGTCCTCCCACACATCCTCATCCCAACAGGGTCCTATTGTTTCCCAAAGTTCTTGTTTAACAGTAGATACCCTGAGTGGTTGAAAGTTTGCCTTTCATTGTACATCAGCCAATTAATTGCATAATGAAGGCTTATGTTTGATTTGCAGCAATTTCAACCCTATGACTACAGGAGAGAAGATTCTTCTTCAGGGCATATTTAGAAGCTTTTAGGCTATTTATGCACATCTGGAGCCAATAATTTGAATCCCTGAGCTCATCTTTTTCTTTCATCAATTTGTCCAGCAATGTTAGAGCAACCAACCAATATAATTATGTTCCCTGATTTTCCATAAGTGTTTGAAAGTATCATATATAGCCACCAAATTTCCTGCTTCTAAGTGGTGAATTAGGAGTATCAAATGCATTCATTTTGCATATTTCTATAAACAGTTAATGCTGTGGACTGTCAGTGTTCTCTGTACTATTAGAAATACAGTCTTTAGCAGTCTTAGATCTAATCATACCAGAGAGCCAATTCCAGAAACCCTAAAACCAATTAAGATTTATTCTTAAAATTGTGTTTATCTAGAACCACTCCTAGTACCAAAACTGTGTTGCTATAACAGAATGCCTGAGACTGGGTAACTCATAAAGGAAAGAGGCTTATTTGGCTCAAAATTCTGGTGGCTGGAAAGTCCAAGAGCATGGTGCCAGCATCTGCTTGACTTCTCTTGAAGGCTATGTGCTTCAAGCCATTGTAGAGAAGTGGGCAGCCAAGTAATTCTGTGCGAAGAAAAAAGCAAGAGAAGGAATTTTGCTTTATGAAACCTGGTCTCTCATTAACTAATTCAGCCCTACAAGAACAAGAACTCACTTTCATGATACTGGATTAAGTGATTCTTGGGGAATCTGCCCCTATGACTCAAACACATCCCATTAGGCTTCATCCCCCTAACATTGCCACAATGGCAGTCAAATTTCCACATGATTTTCGGAGGGGAAAACCCATATTCAAGGTATTGCATTCTGCCCCTGAAACTCACATCCTTCTTACGATACAAAATACAATTGGTCCATCCCGATAGTACTAAAAGTCTTAATTTGTTTCAGCACAAACTTAAAACTTCAAAGTTCAAGTCCTATCTGAGAGCCAGTGAAATTAAAACACAGAAACAAACAAAACAAGTTATTTACTTCCAAGACACAGTGATACAGACATTGGGTAAACATTCCCATTCCAAAAGGGATAAATAGGCCAAAACAAAAGAGTGACAAGCCCGATGTAAGTTTGAAATCCAGGAAGGCAGACATTAAATCTTAAAACCTCAAAATAAATTTTCAGTGTGTTTTCTGTACACACTAGTACAAGGATTAGGTTCTCAAATCCTCAGGTAGCCCTGTCCCAAGGATTGGCTGGGTATAGCCCATATGGCTGTCCTCACAGGCTGTCCTAGAGAACCTGTCGCTTTCCCAGGCAGGTGTTTCATGCTGCTGGTGGCTTTATGATTCTTGAGTCTCAAGGGCAGCCCTGTTCCCATGGCTCCACTAGACACTGCCCTGAAGGGATTTTCTGTGGCAGCTCTGCCCCTGTGGCAGATTTCTGCTTGGGCCTTCCAGTTGTTTACTACATCCTTTAATAGCTAGGTGGAAGCTCCCAGGACCCCACAGCCAACATATTTAGTGCACCTGCTTACTGCTTCTGCCCTCTGGATTTGAAAAATAGGCCATACCTTGGCCCACATGAGCTATGGCTGTGTGCTACCCAGGGTTACAGCTTATATTTTATGAAGCAGCAGCCTGATCAACTCCTGAGACTGCTTTTAGGCATGGCTGGAGCAACCAGAATGACTAGAATATGGGATACAATGTCCTGGGGTGGCCTTCGACACTAAGCCTATGAAGAGTGCCTTGGTTCTGTCCCCTGAAATAAATTTTGCTCTCTCAGGCCTCTAGGCCTTTCCAATGTCCTGATTACACAGCACCTGGATCCCTTTGATCTGTGCTACTCTCCTTAGCACAAAATGGTCACTGGGCCCACAGTTTTGGCACAATCTCCTGAACATATCTTTCGTCACACGGTTATGTTTTTAGTCTCTGTTTCCCTTTTGTTTATAAATTCTGCCTTTAGATCATCCCTTTACTCCCATAGCTCCATGTAAGCAGTTAGCAGTAACTATAGAGCTTCTTGAGCAGTTTATTCCCTCAAATTTATTCTGCCAGAAATTCTAGTTTATCACTCTGAAATTTCATTTCATAAAGTACTAGGGTTTGGCCCCACTGCAACCAAGTTCTTTACAACCATATAACAAGGGTGTGGTATATTTCATTACTCAATAAGATACTCCTCATTTTCGTCTGTAACCTCATAATGTCTTTACTATCCATATTTCTTTCAGCGTTTTGGTCAAAACCACTGAAACAGTCTCTAAGAAGTTCTAATTCTTCATCTGAGCACCCACCAGAACTGCCTGTAATGCTTCATTGACTGACTGCAATGCAGGCTTTCTCTAGCATACTCCTGTAAACCTTTGCAATCTCTGCTCATTATCCAGTTCCAACGCTGCTTCAAAGGTTTTAGGTATCTTTATAGCAATAATCCCACTCCTTGTTACAAGTTTTCTTTGTTTGGCTGTAACAGAACACCTGAGAATGAGTAATTCATAAAGAAAAGAGTTTTATTTGGCTTATAATTCTGGTGGCTGGAAAGCCCAAGAACATGGCACCAGCATCTGCTTGGGTTCTGTTGAGTACTATGTGCTGCATCAAAACATGGCAGAAAAGCAAGCGAGTATGTACAAAGAGAAAACAAACCTAAGGAGGAACCTCACCTTGATCTATAACGTCTTGCTCTTGTGTTAACTAATCCAGCCCCGCAATAGTGAAAACTCACTCTCTTGAGACTATTTCCAAGGGATCTGCCCTCATGACCGAAATACCTCCCATTAGGCCCTACCTCAAAACCGTACCAAAATAGCAATCAATTTCAACATGAGTTTGAGGGCACAAACAATATTCAAACCAAGCAAAGGACATGATTCATTTTTATTTAAGTATAGAAGCTAATACTGAATATTAGCAATTTTAATTATTGAAATGTAGCCTTTTTCTGAGGCTACCCAGCTGACATTTTACTAGAAATAGTAATATAAAATTATTTTGGAACTTTAACTTATTTCCCTCTTTTCTCTCCTACCTAAAGCCAGAAATGATAGATCATACAGAGAGCTTTGACATAAGTTATACTGTGTTAGAAAAATAATGGTCTAGGATTAGGTCTGGAATCTAGTCCTAGTTGTGACCCTAAGCAAGTAGAGTTTCTTGGTCTCTATTTTAAATTTAAGGAGTAGAACCTGAATTTTGATATCTTTTCAGCTCCAGCTATATAGTAGAAGATAGCTTTTGTTATGGCTAAAAAACTCATTGAGACATATTAAGCTGAACTCCATATGCTTAAAATAATCACATATTTGTCTGTGCAGAAATTTAAGCTGATTACAAACATTAAATAGTAAATTAGGTATGGTGGGTATATTTGTTATTCATTCCTTTTTAAAATATTATTTTCTCCCTGTAAAAAAAGAATATTTTTCTGCAGCACTTAACTTGGAATACGTTTTAGAGCAGATGATGTTGGACATAAGCAGAAACTTTCCTAAGCAACCAGATTGAACACACTTAAAGAAAGAATTTCTGTTTTATGCCACTAGTGAATATTATAGTATTAGAAAACCACTAATCTGATGTTTTGTAATGGAGCTGCAGAACTCTTAGGTAAGATTTTACCAGATACTGGACATTTTTACTTTAGGAGAAACAGGAAAAAGTTAATTGTCCTCAACGTTAACCAAAAATATTTAAGCTGGATATGGATAAAGATTGATTCTTTATATCATTGAACATGCAGTGTTCAAATTTTCTGATTATTGCAAATAACTTTGGCAGCGTTTTTTCTTAAATAAGCATTCAAATAAGGTCTATACATTGCCATTGGTAGATGTGCTTATTAGGTCTCAGTTTATAGACTTTTTCTCTTTCTCTTTTAAAAATTCTTTTCATTCTTTTGTGATTATTAAATAAAGCCAGTTGGTTTTCATTGTGTCTGTCAGTTTTGCATGCTCTGGATTTTGCTGATTGCAATCTTCTTTATTATATATACCTGTGTCTTGTATTTTTTTGTAAATAGGTCATTAGAGCTAAAGGCTTTAACAACTTCAACAAAGTTAATGATTATTTTGGAATCATTCCACTCAAGATATATTTAGTAAATAGAAAGTTGTATAATTTACCAAATTTTATTTGTAACATACAGTAAGTCGTAATATAAAATATGATAAAAATTTACTGTAAGGAGAACATTTCAAACAAGAGACTAAATTTTATCTTTTATACTTTTAATGATAGGTGGAGGTCATGTAATTGATGCATCAATATGCTAATATGTTATTATTTGCCATTCTCTAAGATCTTATAACTGATACTGGCTACTCTTCAAATGGGATTCACCTTTATAATATTGTCCTTTCTCTTAATGAATCAGGAAATAACATATATAAAGTTATAAAATGATGAAGCCCTTTTTGGCATAGTATAGGTAAAAAGGGAAAGCAGCTCTCAACAATGAGGTAAGATGGTTCACGACTTAAATGTGAGAAAGTTTTCAGAAACAAGCTAGTGAAATTGTGTCAATACAATTTGCAAGAGCACCAGTGTATATGTTATTTATTTGTAAACATTGTTTTTCACACAACTGAATAGCATGATTGTTTGGCAAATAATACTGACACCTTCAAATGAGCACAGAACTAACTGCTTAGTTATATTTATGTTCCTAAAAGATGCAACATGATTGTAGGCATGTTAATTTCATGGAAATATCCTAGTAAAAACAGTTTCACTAGTTTTTAAGAAAAGTTGTTTGTGTTTCCTTAAACATAACTAGTGTTATGTTTAACACCTCCAGTGTTAGCCTGAATGTCTTGGGCAACTCTCTAGTGTTAACCGGAACTGTCATTCACTGCTGTGTGCCCTCGTTCATCCATGAATGATGCCTTTTTGGAGAACCTTCCCTACTCACATAATAGAACCCTTGGTTATTGTGAGTTTTGCTACCAAGCGTTAAACCTGTGCTGAGGTCTTGATCCAAGGGCAGCCTCCCTTCAGGATAATGAGACTGACTTAGCAAAAACAATCAGGTTAACCATCACATTCTATGTATGGATAAACTAAATTATGATGGAGCAGCACCTAAGAAAATAGAGAAACCAGTTTGTTTATAGAGAAAGAAGAATGGGATAGACCATGACAAGATGCAGAGATGTGATGGGAGAAATCCTATAGTAGCTGATCTCTACAGCAGCTGTCAGCTATCTCTGTCCAAGCCCTTTGTAGCTGCCTTTTACATTTTTAGCTTCAAGTAATTTGTTTCCAGTTCTTGAAGCCATATATCAAAATGTAACCTGCGTCCATATGCTTTAATGCATTAAAAAGCAATTTATAATATATAATATTACAAGCAAATGATTCCAAATAAAATGTTGTATTGTTCTGATGTCCTTTCCAGAAGCAAAAATTGATATTAATCCTTTAAGGGAAGGAATCTCACTTGGGAGGCAGGAAGGAGGTTTAAATCTCATGTAGCATAGTGATTCTAGCCTGGTTGCACATTAGAATTACCTAGGTAGACTTTAAAAGTCTTGTCTGGCTTCAATCCCAGAGCTCTGGCATGGTAATTTTAGAACTTCCTCCATAGAAGATTCTAAGATATAGATAGGATTAACAACCATTAATCTGGAGGTGTTCTGGTACATTAGTGTGGACCCAAATGACAAGTGAGTATTTTACCAGTGGATTTGAACAGTTCCAGTTAGTTCACATGTTAATGCTATTTTAAGTAAAATATCTTAATGCGCCAGTTATTAAATGGTTTGAGGGTACCACTATCTTGTACACTGCCCTCAGTATTTTAGGAATAACTGCCTACGTGTGATCTATTTAGAAGTAGCATTTGAAAGCACTAATTCTACTTCATCTTGTTTTAAAGGCTGCAGGTGGGAGACTTGATTATGACTTTATCTAACCGAAAGCATACATCATTTATGCTAAATTCAAAACCATTTTATAAATAGACAATACCGTAATGCCTTAATTAAATAGATAATAACTTAATGCTATTCAGGGATTATTTTTGTGTTTCAAACACTGTTCAGGGGTTATTTCTGGGTATGAAACATTAAGTTAAGACCTAATAACTGAATGTTTCAAACTCAGAAATAATCCCTGAATAATAGTGTTTCCTTTTAATATTGTGTTTATTAATCTGTATGTTTATGGATGTTTCCATGGGAATTGGTCGAATGGGAAGGAGAAGAGACTGAATGATGCATAATGCTTTGTATCATATGTATGTGCCCATCTTTACCTAGCTTTCCTTCACTGAATATTAGATGCTGAACACTAAATAGTTTAAAATGTTTAATTGCCTTAGTATTTACATAGAACATGTTTACTGATACTTTTATAAGCATTTAAATGTTTTCCAATGTTTTAACATAACCTGCTAGATATTTATTATAAATTTATATTTAGGTGCATCTTAAATTACAGCTGTCCCTTGGTGTACTCGGGGGATTGGTCCAAGACTCCCATGTGTACCCAACTCTACACATACTCCAGGTCCTAAAGTTGGCCCTACAGAATCCCCGCATAGGAAAAGTCAGCCCTCTGTATAAATGGGTTTCACATCCCTCAAATGCTGTATTTTCAATCCACGTTTGGTTGAAAAAAATCTGCTTATAATAGGACCTGTGCAGTCCAAACCCATGTTGTTCAAGGATCAACTGTATTGCCTTCTATACCATCCTGAAACTGGCACTTACGTGCTTATTTAAGATTTTCATATGCATGTTTTAGATTGTGTTTATTAACTATTTTTTTAATAATTCTATATGCCTGTATAAAACCCTATGTGAATAACTATTCATATTTTAAAAATAAAATAACGGAACTTTTTTATATGCACATAGTTTTCTACTTTTAGACTAAATTAGGAAGCAACACAGGTTCAAAATATTGAGATATTGTAGAAGTAATAGGTAGTGAACAATAAAGAGAGCATTATAGTATTCCCTAATAGTTGTTTTTACTCTTTTATATTTCTACTTCAGTATATTTCCATAAATTCTGAACATTTTTCTAGTTTTACTATTTAATTTGTGCTGATATTAAACCATAATTTTTCATAATTTTTTTCACTTCGTAACATGTTGCTGTTTGTAAATTTTGCAATCACTCACCCAGATACAGTCTATTGTTTTTACTTACTTTTCACTGATTTCTTTAGATTTTATACATACAAAACTATAGTCTGCACATAATTTTGTCTGCAAATAATTATAATTTTGTCTTATTTCAGCACTAATGTATTTTTACATAATTTTCTATTCTAAATGCTTTGATAATTTTTCCTTCCATTAAAATCAAAATATCAAATACCCTTTTGATATTTTATTTCATTAAATAAAAAAAAGGAAGACACTGTAATATGATCCCTGAAGCTAAAAGTTATTTCTAGTATTTAGCCTGTTTTTAAAAAGATAAATATTTCTGGATATGTACACTCTGTTACATATTTTCAACCATTCTGCATAAATCTATTATTTTTTACATTAAACATTAAAACAAAATTTTCTTTGAAATAATGCCAACTAGGCTAGACACATAGAATGACTATAGGACTTATTTAAGGTTTTCATGAAAGTATGTCACTCTCTCCTTTCAATCATAATATCAGCTGGCTATTGGAACTTACTACTGACATGCCCAAATATGCCAATCTACCCTGTTTCTTTTGTTTATATATTATATACATATATATAAAATATATATAGTAATACTTACATATTATATATTACTTTTACTTTCTTTTACTTGACTTAAGTCATGTGGTAGGGAGAATAGATTATTCTTAAAATAGCTACAGTTAAATGATGGAATAATCAAAATTTTAAAAGTGCATATATTCATTATCTGCAAAAAATATGATTGGGGTAAATTATGAATTTTATAATTTAAAATACTTCAAATCATCAAACATTTTATGATTATTTGGTACTTTGTAATGCAAAGATCAATAAAATATAATTTATTTCCTCTATACTTCATCATTTTCTATTTTATTTTTTGACATGTATTGATTTGTAAAAATCAATTTAATAATGATTATAAATCACCTCCTCCCTGTATGGGTGTAAGCTACTGCTGAGTTTAAGATAGAACATGCACCTTCTAAGGACTACAGCAAAAGTAATTTTTTAATTGAACCACTTGTTTATGGCAAGTATTCTGTGTACCAAAAATTATTTAAATATTCAAAATATGGATGCCTTGGCCTTGTTACATATTCCACTTACGCAGCTCCACTTATGTGAGTTCTGTGGCACCTTCGTACTGTCGGCAACTTCCCAGAGAGATTGTAGTCATTTTGTGAACACATTCAATAAGCTCTGCAGCGCCTCAGGTAATGTTGTTGCTACTTACACCCTTTTGCAGGTGAACCTGGCATTCTACTTAAATTGACTTTCTGATATATGCTTTAAAATATGTAGTTATATATTTAGTATTCAGGTCTCTTTACTCTTAACTGTTTAGGTATACTATAGAATAATATTTATAGATTTGTATTATTTGTCTCTATGTAGTTTCTGAGAATCATTGTATAGTAATCACTGTGTAAGGAAATCTTTTGAATCAGGTAATTTTCTTTTAGTAGCATTAATATCATGATGCCTGGATTCGGGTAGTTTACTTCTTCACTGTCTTAATACATTGGTTTCAATCATTTAGAGCACAGGTGAATTTCATTTTGTCAGTTAATTCCATTGATTATCTTGCCTCTGAAATACCTATAATATGAAATATTACATATTCCTCATTTCTATTATCACTTTCTTTCAAATGTTAATCCCATGACAGCATTTATTCTTTGTACTCCACAAGAGAAAGAAAAGTAGGGAAAAATGAAAACTAGCAAAAGTGTGATTTTAACACTTTGAGAATACTGTAAAATTATATGGCCATGAGATCAAGTGATTGGAGACAGACATGAAAAGCCTATAAAATTTCCTTAGCATTTAAACTTGCTTTATTCCTAGAAAAATAACATGTCTAAAATAAAATTTTATCAATAAAATTCAAAAATACGTTAAATGGTCTGCAACATCCATAATTATAATTCCTGGGCATATAATAAGTACTCAGGCATTAGTTCATTAATTAAAATGTTAGAATAAAAAAATAAACTGTTTTCCAATGGGATTGTCTCATTGCAAAGGCAACAATTTGTACTAAAATGTCAGAAAGCTGAAAACTGCTATATATTCCTGGGCATGGTATGATTTATATTAGAATTTTGATTGTGTCTCATTTGTTTACTTTTTCCTTTGAGTTTCTAAGTTGCGGTAATTTAGAGTGGGTGTAATTTAGAAGAATTTTGTTTAATTCTATGATGAACCTTTGCTTGAGATTTAAATAAATATACACATAAAATGTTATAAAATGGTTTAAAATACCTTCTGTTTATTATTGTAATCCTTGTGTTTATTATAGTAATTACCAACACTTGTAAAAAATTATAAAATAAATGCACTACTATTCTAAGAAGAAAAGATCCTTTGATGTCAACCAATCAAGTTAAAGGAATTGAAAATTTCAAGATACTCAGAACCATTATATGGAGGGATTCTTCATCTAAGGATTTTGAGTGTTTAATTAATAGTAAGGTCTTGAGATGTTTCAGATGGTGAGTGTGCATCTTGGTGTCTTTGAAAAGCTACCTGCTTCCCTGCCCCAATACCCCAGTAGCTGGAAAGACAAAGTGGGTACTATAAATGACAGAATATTTCTAAATAAGATCTTGATTGCTTTTCTTCTTCTGGACTACTTCATATATCCATAAGAATACCTGCATGCATGTGTCTACATCCACACAACATTAATATAAAGGCAAACGAGCAGCAATAAAAATTTTGATGTGATGAAGAAACTCAATCCAATTCTACTGACATTAGTCTTCATCTATTTGACCTGAATATAAGAAAAACAAGGAAATGAATTATTGAGCACTTACAAGAAAGTGGTAAAATATAACTCAAATTATACAGTGCATGGGCCCTTAGCAATGACATCCACATGTTAATGCTCGGCAGGGACAAAATTCATTTTCTGTTCTTTGAGAACATTCTTCTTTCTAGGAGCTAAACATCCAATGGAGTTACTGATTCTCCTCTTCAAAGTTACATTAGGAGGATGTGATTTATATAGAAAAGAAACAAATTCTCTCACTGTGCAGTGCAGTGGGAATGCCATTACTGTGGAATAAAACAAAACAAAACAAAACAAAAAAACGTGATTCTATATTTTGCAAGCTAAATTATTAGGATGTAAATAAATGCAACACCTTTTTTTAACTTCAAAAATATAATTCAGTAGGCTCAATTTCATCTCTGAATCCTCAAGCCTCAGGCTTTTGTCAACACACAAGGTACAAATCAAAATATTTGGGATTTAATTGGGTTATTAGTTTGAATTTCTCAAATAATGAAATATACTATAAAATGCTTATTATGTAATGATGATAAAAAGATCCTAAAACCCAGTGTCCTAAAACAATAAATATTTATTACTGCTCATGATTATAGGACTCACGATATTCTGTGCTCGGCTAAACCAAGTCACGTGTCTGTATTTTGCTGTATGTTGTGCATGAAGAGACCCTTGATCTGGTTGAGTTTTCTCCCATGTTTGCAAGTTAGCTGGCTGGTAAGCTGATCTAGGATGGCATTGGCTGGGGCATTTGGGCTTTCTACCATGTGGCTTCTTAACCACTAGTGGGCTACCTGAAGCTTAAACACATAGCACTGGCCAAATAAAAAAAAAAAAAGAGAGAGAGACAGAAGTGCTCAGGGACTCTTGAGGCCTAAGTTTGAAACTGTCAACCTATCTTTCTACTGAGAGACTGAATACCTAACAGACAATGGCCAGACTGTATATAAAATAAAACTTTGAACTACTTTCTGCAATAACCAGTCCAGGAAGTGAAACTACTGTCTCTAGCAGCCAGCCCAGGAAAACAATAATGCCTGTAACAATTAGTCCCAAATGGCCAGAATTTGATTCATAGCTGGCAGCTTCTTTTAATTTCTGTCCCTACTTTCAACTTAGGACCAACTGAAGACAGCCAATTTTGCACCCCTAATTAGTCACATAGGATGCCTTGTTTTTAGGTAACCTGTCTAGAGTTTCCCTATGCCAATAATCGAGGCATACCTGAAACCTTCCATGTTTTTCCATGACAAAGCTTTCCCACTTCTCTGCCTGCATTTGAGTCTTGGCCACAATGCAGGTAATAGTGGTTGACTTCCTTGTGGTAGCAAGCTCTGAATAAATAGCCTTTGCTTGTACTCATTTGAGTGGTCTGGATTTATTTCCGCACCACCTAGCTCTCTTGATCAAATGCAGTCATAAAACCAGCCAGATTCAAGGAGTGGAAGAAGAGGTTCTGTCCTTGATGGGAATAGATGCAAAGTCACATTTTAGAGAAGATATAGTTAGAGAGGATGTTTTGCAATTAGTCTACCACAACTACTTCTGTGAGTAAAAATCTTGTGTTCAAGTAATATTGAATTATTGGTGTTCAATTTCAACCAGATTCCACCAGTTAAAGGAAGACAGGGGAAGAAAAATCCCTCAAATTTTTAATACTTGAAGAATTTTCAAATTAATGACTCAGTATATTTCATAGCAATGCTCCTCTCTTTCGCCTTACAAAGTCCCTCAAATATTTTTACTAATTTTGGGAAGATAGTGATTCTCTACAAAACTTGCTCTCATTGGGGGCACTTAAAGCAGTGAAGGGAATGCATTAAAAAGCAATGCCAGGGTATAGTTAGTTCTTAGGAGACTTTGCCCCAGTCAAACTTCATTTCATGGCCTTCTAACCTATTCCCTAATAGGCTATGCTTTCTGTTTGTAACGCAAGATTTTTATACCACGGAACTGACAGCATGTTATAATGAACTTTGATTCCGAGCTTTGAAAAAAAAAAAAAAAGCAAGAACTGAAACCTTCACCGAGCAATTTTGTTACTGGGTAACATACAGCACTTACTGCCAGAAACAGGGAGACAATTTTCTGACTGATTTGAAAAGCTATGAGAAAGAAAAAATCTGAAGAAACAGCACATCTGCACAAATTCTTCCTTAATTGTCTATGTACAGCTAAACTTCAATAAAATAACTGTGAATCTTTCAAAGTTCTATGCCTCAGTGGAGACATTAGTCCATTTCTCTCTGGCAAACTGAGATGCCGTTTGCCCAAACACATCAAACAACATTGTTTGTTATATATAGGCACACTAGATTCACAAAAGACTCATACAGTTTCTGGTAATTTAGCTAAAATAATAATTAAAAGACAACATTTTAAGTACTATTTTCTGAGGGGGCAGGCATCAGAACAAAACTCTGCAAGCAGAAGGTAAATGAAAAATACAAAATTGTTTAACTATAAATTCTAAGAATCAGGCAAGACATAATATGTGTGATGTGTTATGCACTCAGAAAATGTGAAGTTTAGTATGAAGAAAAAGCAATTACCTCAATTATTATCACTTTATAAGTTTTTCAATGAGTTCTGAAAATTTACCATGTTAATAGTTAAAAATCCTATGTGAATTTTAACATTATCTTATTTCTGTCAAGTGTAATATGTTCTTTTAAAGGAAATATAGTATATGGAAAATAAGAACATATAAATTCAATTTAAAAATCATCTGAACTAAGGCTACCAAAGGAGAAACACTTCAAAATTTTGCTAGTTAATATTTTGTACATTGTTAAATATGTACCTTTGTAAAAGCATTGCTCTATTTCACAAAAATTGACCATATAGTTTGTAATATGTTTTATGTTTTTACTCAAGTATGTCATGCCAAACATTTTTAAGGCTATATGTGTGTGTGTGTGTGTGTGTGTGTGTGCGCGCGTGTGTATATATATTTATACACATTTTCCAAGTATATATATATACAGCATTTTCCAAGTGTGTATATATATATATGTATATATGTATACACATATATATGTATACCCACACACACTCACATATATATATGATTTTTATTTTTGTGCACTGGTATTTCAATATATATTATTATTTTCCAAATAAACATTTGGTTTCTGTCCTTTTAAAAATATTATTAATCACATTTGTGAATAATAATGTTTTACATATGTAATTCTTTTCTAATTTTTTCATGGAAAATTGTAGAATTGCCATATTTTGTTTGCATTACTATGTACAAATTCTAGCTGGTTTCCTTCCACGATTAATTATGGATTATTTTATATTCTTCATATGCTTGCCAATTAAATAGAAAAACAGCTGAATTATTTTCGTATTTCATACGTATGATTGGTGAACTGGGAGATCACCAAACGTGGATATTTTCAATTCTGTTTTTTATATTGGTTTATATGAACCACTTATATAAGAATTATATTTAACTTTTGTCATAATAATAGTAATGTTGCTTTGATGTGCATTTGTACCCAGTTTTTAGAGAATAATTAAATCTAACAATTCCCATAGGTTTCCTCCTTTGTATGATCTTACACTAGCACACACAAAAATTGTGTGCTGCCATTTATCTAATTTTAAGATTTACTGTTTTTACAGATTTAAATGCTTAACACTGCACAATGTATTACTCAGATTTATTTTTCTCAAATGTCATATGCTAAATAATTTTTTAATTACCCCTGGGTAACTTGCTATTATTAATAATATATTAAATATTCAGAAGCACAAATTTTGACTACATTCATTTGTGATTACTTGATACAAGTTAATACACATTCAAATAATATAATGAATAATATTCACCTTTCCCCAGCCTACACTAAGATATATTCCTCTCAGCAAAGAAAGAACTGGGCTTAGAATGTGTGAAGCATGAACTATTATGTCATTAACAGTTAAATATTGAATTACTTCTAATGAAATACATTGCAAATGTATTACAACAACTCAATGAAGCTTCTATATAAAATGAACCTAGAAACAGGCTGGGCACAATGACTCACGCCTGTAATTCTAGCATTTGGGGAGGCTGAGGTGGGAAGATCACTTGAGCACAGGAGTTCAAGACAAGCCTGGGCAACATAGTGAAACCTCGTTTCTACAGAAAACTAAAACAGTGAGGCGGGGACGGTGGCTCATGCCTTTAGTCCCAGCTACTCAGGAGGATACAAAGATTGAATTTAGAAGAGTCAGAACTATGTTTACCTTCTTGAAATCTTATGAGGATTGGAATGATGGGGATGTTAAGTCTATTAATCATTTCAAATATGTCCAAAGCCCTAGTCTGCTGGCATACTAGCAAATTACTTACCTAAATGTTCACCAATACTACATAGTATTATGTAGCTTAAAAAAAAAAAGCCGATAAGGAATAGTAATGAAAAACCATGTTCTGGGTGGGGTTGCTTTATTATCAATGCTTAAATGATAATATTAAAAATATACCATACCATAATATTATTGTACTTGGCTTTTATTCCTATTATCTGGTTCATTCTTTCCATCCTACATGGCTTCTACATGACAGATAAATTTCAGCATTTTCTAAGTTTATGGCTCCCATCTACCAGCTCAGTAAGTAAAGTCAATTTACTTACTATGCTTAAGAAATGTAAATTAACTACATATTAAATTTTAAAACAATTTTTAAAACAATTAAAATTAAATACAAATATATACTAAAAGTTTCAGAGGACTGCATGATCTGTACCATGAAGAGTCTTGTGCTGAATTCCATCCTTTCAAAGCACTAGGAAAATATGCACCCACCAACTAAATTGAATAAATACATTGAAAATCTGAGGGAAATCCACAATCCAATCTGCCCTAACCTCTACAAAACTGAAAAATTCAAATCAGTTAATGCCCCAGGTTTGGATCTTGATGATAAATGACTCTTTCACATTTTTAATTTCTGTTTTGCTTGCAGTTAAAACACAAACCTACCATCAAAATAAAGTTTCGAGTCTCACTGTGCTCTGGGGAATGTGTTCCTTGATATATATAAACACAAAATATTTGAATGAGATGGACAGTCTTAATCAACTGGAACTGTTGCACTCTTTCCCTGTAGACGGGATCCTCTCACATCTGAGCAACTATATTTGTGAACTACAGAAGTTTACACTAAATGTGAATAGTCAATGATTTTCAGATTTATATGGAAAATAAAAGAAACAGTGCCTGGAATTACTTCTTTCTGCCACTAACTGTGAATTAATATTATCCTGCTAAAATTCCCTTTGCATATACCAAGATATACTTTCTCCAAGTCCTTAAAATTTTGGATGCCTGTATCCCAAGAAAGCAGAGAGATGACCACTGTGTAGTTCTTTATCATGCAGTCCTCTATGACTCTGTGAGTGTTCCTCAAGTTGCTCATGATTCAAGGGACATGAATGAGTTGCATCCGATGAAATTACTTTCCTATAAACACCACAATTTTCAGTATTTACTTTCCCAATTTCTATGAAACTAGTCTCAGTCTATTTCCCAGAATTCTTTGTGAGACCTGGATATTTGAGAAAAATAAAATGTACTTCAATTTCATTGGAGACTGTGTAAAAGAGAGGAGAGGGTCCAGGCTTTGGGTGGTCAGTCAGCACTAAATCCAAATCTCACAGGATAATTTTCCTTCAGAGGAACAGTTTTTGTATTGGTTAAGGGTGATGACCATATAATCTCTACTGTCATGTGTCTTGATAATAGCATAGATGAAAACTCCTGACACAGTGTAGGTCCTCAATGAACAGTAGTTTTTGAGAGACAATTGTACAAGCCCGGGGAATAATTTGGTAAAGAACAAAAGCAGCAGTGTAACAGTGCTGACTCCATGTTAGAGAGAAGTTTGCTCACTTGAATATAATTATTGCTTTGCTTGAGTATGAAGATTATTTACTAAAAACAGCCGTGGGAGTACAGGACCTTCAGCAGAGATAAAAGAAAATACACAGACCCGCAACCTTGGAATGGGCTGGCCAGCCTGATTAGAATAGGCTAAGGGTATCTGCATAGAGCCATGAAATACCAAGAAAGCAATCACTAACTGCCTGCCTGAAACTATGCATGTTGCACAGGAATGATCTGATCATAATTTTTCCTAATTGCCCTTAAAATCCCCTGATCCAGAGGCACAACTTGGAATGATGGTCTTTGAGCGGAGGTTGACTGACTTCCCTGGGTTGCTGGCTTTTCAAATAAAGCTAACCTTCCTTTCACCAAAGCTCATCTCTGGAGTTTTTTGGCTGTCAGACCTGAGTTCAGTTACAGCAGGCCGGCTTCATGGTGGAAGATATCCTGAAGGAACTGCCCACCTTAGAAAGGGTCACTTTCAGCAAGATTATTTTCCTTTTAGGAACATTGCAGTATGGTTCCCTGTGCCTGGAAAGCTTTTCTCTGGTATTGATTGTTTCAGGTCTCTGTTCAAATGTCACTTCCAAAGAGAAGCCCCACCATCGTTCTTAGTTCCCTTATTCTGCTTTATTTTATCATTACTAGATAAGATGTCAAATATTTGTGTGTATTTGATAGACTATTCATCTGTAATCACAGAAATTGACATTTCTGTCTGAAATGTATATTTCTGTTTGTAAATTGAGAATAATGTAATGTCTCTTTAGCTTTATAAAATAGACCTCCTATAATCCTACTGTTAACCTTGGCCTAAAGTTGCCTCCTTAAATATTTTAAGTGAAGCCTAAAGATTTCTCCCCACATAGTAAACTGAAACCTAACTGGGTATGTAGACAGAGTAACCTACTTTTGTGCCAGTCGCCAAGTTTTGAACAATTAAAGGTGGCCAACCGTTCAAACTGTGTTCAAATAAGGCAAATGCTGAGCTGTAACCAATCTGGCTGTTTTTGTATTTCACTTCCATTTTCTGTATGTCACTTCTATTTTTCTGCCCATAAATCATCTTCCACCATGTGGCTACACTGGAGTCTCTCTGAGCCTACTCTAGCTCAGGAGGCTGCCCGAATCACGAGTTGTTCTTTGCTCAATTAAACTCTGTTAAATTTAATTTGTCTAAGGTTTTTCTCTTAACACTACATTTGCCTTGAATTTCTTTCACTTTACCAGCTAGAATAATACATAGAAAAAATGTTACTTGGACACACAGCTATATCCACACATTCTTTTAATAACCTTAACTAAAAAGTGTTGCTTCTCCTTGGAGTATTCTTTCAAAATATGTATATCCAGATAATTCTTGTTCTAGCAAATATGATTTTTTTAATGTGGTGAAAATATCAACATACCAAGAGAACATTGGAGAAAAACTGAAATGATGAATATTAACAATAAAAACAAAGCCTTTTACCAAGATGACCTTTTCACCAATTCTTTTCTGATAATCCTTGATTAAAGATTAGACTTTTGCTTGTACTAATCCTCTTGAATGATCTAAAAATATGTTTCCCCAAAATGTACTTTTTGGCATATTTTGAAATGGCTGCCTTAGGGTTAGCAGACTGAGGTGGGTGAAATTAGCATCAGTAGAGAATCTTCATTAATGCAGCCATGCTTACCCTTTCTATGCCTTTCCCAGATCTAGGAGAGATTGAGAGTCTGACATCTTTAAAAGTCTGAAAAGAAACATTCACCATCTATTCCCTCTGACGGAGGCTTCATCTACACAGCAAGGACACTTTTCTTGGCCAAACTCTTCCTTTCTCTCTCTCATAACCTGTCTTGCCGCTAAATCTGTTGTATAAGGATCCAAGCTCCCATTTATTCTGTAACCTCAAGATGGTATGTAAACTTCTGTTACTCATTGAAAAATGGGGTGTTCATTCTGGAGGCTCCTATGTATACACCTTAAATAAATCTGTATGCATTTTCTCTTATTGATCAATCATGTCAATAATTTTTAGGTGAACCTTTAGGGGCCCAAGAGCCTATGACCCTTGTATTAGGGTTCTCTAGAGGGATAGAACTAACAGGATAAAATGAAAGGGAGTTTATTAAGGAGTATTGATTCACACAATCACAAGGTGAAGTCCCACAATAGGCCATCTGCAAGTTGAAGAGCAAGGAAGCCAGCAGGAGTCCCAAAACCTCAGAAGTAGGCGAGTTGATAGTGTAATCTTCAGTCTGTGGCTAAAAGACTGAGAGTTCCTAGCAAACCACTGGTGTAAGTCTAAGAGTCCAAAAGCTCTTAGAGTTTGATGTTTGAGGTCAGGAAGCATCTAGCATGAGAGAAAAATGAAGGCCAGAAGACTCAGAAAGTCTGCTTTTTCCAAATTCTTCTGCCTGATTTATTCTAGCCATGCTGGCAGCTGATTAGATGGTACCCACCCAGATTGAGGTTGGGTCTGCCTTTCCCAGTCCACTGACACAAATGTTAATCTCCTTTGGTAACACCATGACAGACATACCCAGGAACAATACTTTGCATACCCAGGAAATATACTTTGCATCCTTCAATCTAATCAAGTTGACACTCAGTATTAACCATCACACCCCCACACCCTCAGTTACTTTTCATCTTCTCTATATTATAAAATTATAAAAATTGAGGTGCATATCTTATCTGCTTATGGGGCTACAAGTACCTTGAAGGCAAAATTTAAGTCAAATTTTTAAAAAATACATTATTTCAAAGACAGTGTCATTTACAGACAGTAGCCATTCAAAATGTACTGAATGATGAATGAATGAATGAACACACAATCATATTTTAATCAGAAAAGACTATATTATCTGATTGTTACAGGCAGACTTACCCCAAGGTTGTGGCACAGCCAGGGAGGCCGAGTGGGTTCTTGTCTTCACACAGGAAAAGATTCAAGAGGAAGTCATCCGAGTAAAGTGGCAGTGAAATTATTAAGAAAGAAGAGGAATAAAAGTGTGGCTACCTCATAGGCAGAGTAGCCCTCTTGGGCTGTTGACTGGCTGTGTTTATGATTGCTTCTTGACTATATGCTAAATAAGAGTTGGATTATTCAGGAGTTTTTCTGGAAAGGGTAGAGAGTTCCTGGAATTAAGGGTTCTTCCCCTATTCAGACCATAGAGGGTAACTTCTGGGAGTTGCCATGGCATTTGTCATGGTACCAATGGGAGTTTCTTTCACCATGATTATGTATTATAATTAGTCTATAATGAGGAACAAGTGTAAGAAGAGATTGCTTCTGTTGCCGTCCTGGTTTTGGCAGATTTTGGCCAGCTTCTCCACCGCATCCTATTTTATCAGCACAGTTTTGTGACCTGTGTGTTGGGAAACTAGTCCTGCCCAACTCTTATCTCCTGATGAAATAACACCAACTTAAATGCTGCCTCCATAACTTATTATCTTTGTTAATTTTAGGCAAGTCACTTCAACTTCTTGTGCCTTATTAGATTACTTTTCTCTATGAAGGGGCTGAGTTTGTTTGTTTTGAAATAATTGTTTTGAGGACTAATGAAAAGGTACACTCAACAGATATTAAATAAATGTTGGTTTATTTTTCTGTCTAGGATCAGAATATTCTCTCTTGGAGATCATCCCTTTCCCACTATCTTTTTGACCAACACTGGAAGTATACATAAGATCTATTCCTTCACTGGGGACTGAAAGGTTCTCTCAGCTCTTTTCTTTCCAGATATGATTGTAAGCTCAAGAGTCATCTTAAGACTTTAACCATCACCACATCTTTTAAGCCATTTTTGTTGTTTCTTTTTGACAGCACATGTTTCTGAGAACCTTTCATACTGCTTATGTATTTTATAACAGTCAGCCGCATGTACCAGCAGCCACTCCTATATGTTTCTGAAAAGCATGGTTCCTAGAGTTATATACTTGCTTTCTAACCACTATAACTCTCTTGTTGCTCTAAATCAGTGGTTCTCATAGTTTTTGACCTTAAGAACCATTTTTCTTTTTAAAAATCTTTGAAAAGTTCAAAGAAGCTCTGTTCATCTGGGTTATATCTGTCTATATGATATAAAAATTTAAACAAATATTATAAATGTTTATTTAAAATAGTATCAAAAATCTGTTGTATGTTAATAGAAATAGCCTCTTTTCATAAAGCATAACTATTTTTCAAAACAATATAGTGAAAAAAGTGTTTTCTTTCATAGTAAGTGGAAATCTCTTTAATGCCTAGCTTAAGGGAACACAGCTGGATTTTCATTTTTGTTTTGCCTTTAGTCTCTTGCAATATGTTGTCTTGGATGAAGTATATAAAGAAAATTCAGCCTCACATTGAAAGTTGGACAAAGCTGGAGAATTTTGATGGCGGTATATTCAGATAATTGTGGATATTGTTTGTTTATACTGCACTAATATTGAACAAGTGGTAGTTTCTCAAAGTTTTGTGCAATACAGAATTCAAAACTATATTTAAAAAACTGGATTCTGTCATTTTTAAATCCATTGATGTATCTTGCACTACGAATGGATTGTTTACCCATGCATAACTTTATAACATTATGTTGGATATTTGGAAAGCATGGCTTCCTTAGTTTAGTAGTTCTTTTCAATATTGACATGTTTTATTAAACAGTATTTTAAAAATTACATATGTTATTACTACTGATGTCATCAAGAAAACATTTGAATAGAATGTCAAGCACATTAAAGCAGATATAAGTTTTTTAATTATAATATTGAAAGCTTGAATTGTATCATTGGCAACAAATACCATCAGTTTTTTTTCCTAAAGTGACTGGTTCACTTAATTCATCTTGGAGAGAATATTCGCCAGTTGCTTAAATGTGCATAACCATTGCTTATCTGTTAGTTGGACATTGTAGTAAAAAAGTTGTTCCATAAAAAAAGCTTCTAGTTTCCCTTGTGACTCAAACAATTGTACAAATGCTTTTCTTTGAACCATTGTTCTTCAGTATGGATAACAGCAAATGCAAATTAAAAATAAAGAGACAATTCTTTTGATGAACAGGGGAAAGACTTCTCCCTCCCTCATTTTTCTTAGAGGATTTACTTTAGAAACTTTGTAATTCCTTCTCAATCTTTTTGAAATGAATTTAAATCTCTTTAAAAGGTAACAAGTCTTAAGACAGCTTTACAACTCAGAAAAGTCTCAAGCACCTGAAAAACATCCCTTGGGAATGTAAATATCCAAGGAAGACAGCACTTTCATCTCTCTGTATCTGTGAGTCTGTGAGAAGGTAGAAACTTAACTGGTAGATGCTTTACTCCATGGCAAAACTTCTTGTCAAAAAATAAAAGTTTATTTTTACATTGTCTAAAACCAATTAACTAACAGGGGTGGTCACTCCAATTACTAGATGAATTTAGGATGAACATTGCGTAATAAAAGGTGCTGCCAAGTCCTCTTACTTTGTTACAGGTAGTTAGAAAGGCATGAGCAAGGGCGGGAGAGGGCTCTCTCTCCCACCCATTAGGAATGTCAAGCGATGGTTCAGCAATGATCACATTGCTCCTTTAAACGTGATAAATTGGCTGCTGGCCCCAGGGAGAGGCTATTTCATGATGGGTTATACTTATTGCACTAAAGTGTTAATTCAATGCGGATGCTACGGAAAAGCAACTTCTTGGACATGCGCACTAAGAGACAAAATGGTGAATATGACCTTCCAGGGGCACGCAGCTGGAAGAGGGAAGAAAGCCTCAGATGCGCAAGCGTACAGCTTCCTAAAAAAACTCTGCGTTTGCTCACTTCCCAATGGTGAGGAGAGGACTTGGCTGGCGGGCAGACCACGCTAAGAGAAGAATAATGGAAAAGGAGCCAGTCTCTAAAGGTCTAGGTTCAAGGTTAAACATGGCACTTGACCTTTGCATGCCCATTTGGGTCTCTTCTAAGTGTACTTTTCTTTGCCTTTTTTCCTGTTCTGAAGTCTTTTTTAAATGAACTTTCACACCAACTCTGAAATTTGCCTTGGTCTCCTTTTCTCCCTTATGCCCCTCAGTCAAAATCTTTCTTCTGAGGAGCCAAAAATTGAGGTTGCTGCAAACTCATAGGGATTCTCTACTGGTAATTTGGATATCTTCCACTGGTAACAATTTGAGCACTAACTACGATTTTGATGTAATATGGATGTAATAGGTTGTACTGCTTGACTACGTAAAAGAGTGTGACTTTTTTCTATATGTGTAATCTCTTAGCAGATTACCTATGATGTACATCTTTTTTTTTTTTTTGAAACGGAATCTTGCTCTGTTGCCGGGGCTGGAGGGCAATGGCATGATCTTGGCTCACTGCAACCTCCGCCTCCTAGGTTCAAGTGATTCTCCTGCCTCAGCCTCCTGAGTAGCTGGGATTACAGGCGTGTGCCACAACGCCCTTCTAATTTTTTGTAGTTTTAGTAGAGACGGGGTTTCACCATGTTGGTCAGGCTGGTCTGGAACTCCTGACCTCGTGATCCACCTGCCTCAGCCTCCCAAAGTGCTGGGATTACAGGCGTGAGCCACTGAGCCCGGCCGTACATCTCATTTTGGTTTAATACTTGCTCAATAATAAAACTGTTTTCTTTCTCTACTAACTTTGTGGAGAGGTTTTCTGAATTCAAAGTTTTCGTTTTCAATTATATTTTCCCAACCTATGCAGACACATATGTGTACTTCCTGATTTATCACACAAGACGTTAAAAGTATGTAAGTACAAGATTCAAGATTTAATTAAATCAATAATGTCAATGTCTTATCAAGGAAGTTCTTAAGTAAAATTGTTTGCTTTTCTGGAAGTGCTTGGCAAGGAAGAATTCAATGAATACTACTACAGCTTCCTGACAGTGCCTTGGTACCTGCTAAAACACCAGAATCTTTAACCACCATTGGTTTTGAACAATTAGTGAAAATATAAACAAAGTAGAAAGGCAAATGTATCTTAGTATTGTCCAAGAACATAGTTATGACTTAATTAAATTCTTGAAATAGCCTAGGTATGCTGAGGTTTTGCCAGACTCTGGTTGTAATTAAATTCAAAGTGTTTTAATCCCATCAGGTTTAGGTGGGAGAGTCTCAAGATTCAAATCTTTTTTTCCTGAGCCTTGTGGTCTAATTGAAAGGCATGACTGAGAACCACACCTTTGATTTGATCCTTAGGTAGAGGCCATTTAGTCCTTTCCCAGGTTTCCACAATAAGGTGAAGGCCATACCCTTAATTTGGTCCTTACCTTGAGGACAAATTTTTAGGGGCCTTTTAATTCTAAAACATTCTTAGTTTTATAATTTATTATTTGGAACTGAGAATAATCTGCCTCTCCCAAGGCCCCAAAATTTTTAGACTTCCTCTATTTCTGTACATTTCTGTTTGCACAGCTATTTTGTTTTCCTGAGGTCATCTGTTTCTTTTAATACCTTGCAAAAAACAACCCCCAGTAGTCAACATACACTATTAATGTTTTTACAATAATTACATATTAAAGTTTATTAGGTATATTATCTACCTCTCAAGTGCCACAGGTGATAGATGATTTTATCAAATACTTAGAAACTACATAACATATAATGCTATTGTGTTAATGTCCTATTTCAACTTATTCAACATCTAAAGGCTAATCTCACATTTTTGAGGCTTGAGTTATAGCAATGAACCTCTTCTGATATTAATTTCTGTAATAGGGAGGATAGGATTGTGCTACAGAGTAATCATCAATCCACTGTGTTTCTGGCAGCATCAACATTTTTTTTCACCATCAACTTCTAGCATGACAATCTGAAGCGTATCTTTGATAAAAGTGGTGGAGGAAGAGATATTTGAGATTTTAACATTTGCGTTTAAATGCCCCAGAGCAGAGGTGATCTGTACTGCTTCAGTACATGACCCACTGCCCAGAAGGAGTCAAAGAGCCCTACCCAAGTATAAGGATTATCAAAAAAATTGGCAGCTAAAAGTCTAGTTTAAAAGTTGCTGAACATCTCATTTTTCAGTAATAATAAAAACTAAGCAGCAGTTGATATAACCTTTTGTGAACTTTTTTTACTTAATGCTATTTTAAAACATTTAAACAAGATGCATAAATTATAAAGCACGCAATGAAGTGCATTAAAACAATTGCAAGTTATTGTAATAATCATTACCACATTACTATTAATAATTAATAATAGTAATTATTATTCCCTAGCTTCTGAGAATGAATGTTTTCATTTAAATAAAATTAATGGAGTTTTTCCCCTGACCTTAAAGAATATATAATTAAATAATCCCTGAGATAAACAGTGTGTCAAATTTAGAACATTTCTATTATTCTAAAGAGATATGCACGATACTAGCTTAGTATCAGTCTTAAATAACTTTCTATTCCTAAATGAGTTTTTAAAAAATCACTGTAGTAGTTTAGACTGAAAGCCAATGTTTTAGAAGTATATGTCATGATTTATTCAAGTAGATACTTCATGGAGACTTTCAAATTTAATTAAATATTTACTCTTGTAGTTAAATTAGTGAAATAGAGCTGTGAATGCACACATTATAGATTTATCCCTGAGTCTTAGAAAATTTCCAGTTGTTTAACAGAAGTTCTAGCCCAAGGACAACAATTATGTAGAATAGATTACTTGATAAGAATGTGCTGGCCATTCATAAACTTACTGATTATAAAAATAAACCTCATGACTTACCAATAATCAAGATGATTTTTCAGAGTTTGAGTTGATTATTGTATTAGCAATCACCAGAGAAGTATCTCATGAAGACAAAGAGAGAATTTGCTCTTCCTCCATCCTTTTGTTCTAGTCAGGCCCTGGAAAGGAGGATTGAGATATGACCACATTAGTGAAGGTCATCGTCTTTACTCAGTTTATTGATTCAAATGCTCACTGTTGGCCTGACATGGTGGCTCATATCTATAATCCCAGCACTTTGGTAGGCTGAGACAGGTGGAACACGAGGTCAGGAGTTCGAGACCAGCCTGGCCAATATGGTGAAACCCCGTCTCTACTAAAAATACAAAAATTAGCTAGGCATGGTGGCACACACCTGTAGCCCCAGCTACTTGGGAGGCTGAGGCAGAAGAATTGCTTGAACCTGGGAGGCAGAGGTTGTAGTGAGCTGAGATGGCACCATTACACTCCAGCCTGACGACAGAGTGAGACTCCATCTCAAAAAAAAAAAAAAAAAAAAGTGCTCACTGTTTGTAGAAATACCCTCACAGACACACTCAAGTTGTCATTCATTTGCCCAGTCAAGTTGACACATAAAATTAACTATCACAGTAGTATTTAATAATAGAAGCCAATTGAGCTAATTATAGCAATTAAAATATATATATATATATATATATATATATATATGGACACCAAGGCAGGTGGATCACGAGGTCAGGAGTTCGAGATCAGCCTGGCCAACACAGTGAAACCCCATTTCTACTAAAAATACAAAAATTAGCTGGGCATGGTGGTAGGTGCCTGTAATCCCAGGTACTTGGGAGGCTGAGGCAGGAAAATCACTTGAACCCAGGAGATGAAGGTTGCAGTGAGCCGAGATGGCACCACTGCACTCCAGCCTGGCAACAGAGCTAGACTCTGTCTAAATATATATATACATATTTACAATAGTATTGTCTATGTGATTATTATGCGGTTTTTTGCCATTACTTTTAATGGCAAAAACCGCAATTACTTTTGCACCAACCTAATATTAAATACGAATTTCATGTGTTTTTATTTAAGGGGATTTAAGAGCTTGTAAGATAATGGTAGGAAAATATGATACGGATGCTAAGAAAGTTGAATTTCTATAATTTCCCTTAATAGTATCTATTAGCTCTGAATGCTAATAGGACATGAAATAAGTAGTAGTAGTAGTACTATACTTACTAAGCTCTTCATTAATAGTAGGATATACTTTAAAATACCTGCTGTTTCTGACAGATTGCCCATCAAATATGCACTTAATTATTGCTAAAATTACATTATGAACCTTGAGATTAGCATTCTTGAAAAGAATGTAGAAACAAAATAATTGCCAAGTTGATTGAAACTAGAACTGTCTCTTCATATGCACTAACACCGTGCCATCTAGGATCTTTAACTTAAAAGTTTACTCCATATGGTTTGATAATTCTGAAAGCACTCTGCATATATACTAGTATTGAACAGATAATTACAAGGATAGCAGAAGGTGGAAACCAGGTTACTTGTAAAAGGGTGAAGCTACAGACACAAAAGGGAAGAAGGTTAGAATAAATCCTATGTTACTGGATTAGAGTCGAAGCCATCAGTATGAACTCATGTATAATGTAATATAAATACAGATGGATAGAGAAATAATTATAAAAATTGTTGTGTGTAAGCTTGGTATACTTACATATATTCCATAGTTCTGTTCGCAGAACCAACAATGCTTCAGTAACAACAAGCACACCCAACACTTGGTTTCTAATACGACTCTCCAATAAAAAGAACTAGGGCTACTTGGAGAAATGGCTGATTCTAGGGCAGGGATATGGAATATAAAAGATGAACCTTGAATATCTTGTAGGACCAGAAAGTAAGGACATAGCGAATTTAAACGCAATGATGTAGGTGTGTCAAAGGGGAATAGTAAACAACTGAAAGAGGCTCACTGGCTAAAGCTGGGGAAGTTTGAGCAATAAACAAAATGTAGTATTATATTATAACTCAAATAAAAAATGCATACCCATGAGTTCATACTGATACAAATAAATGACTGGACATATAAATGAGATAGAAGAGACAAATTTTCTTTTTAGGGTTTCATATAATTTACGTAGATACTCTCCTCACTCAAGGAGGGGAAACATAATTTTATATCCCTTAAGAATGGGATTTTCATAGTTACTTGCTTCCAAAGTTTGCAGTAAAAAAATGAGAGTGGTTATTTTATGGTACAGAAACCTGGCAAGCCTCTTTCAGCCAGGTGATTAAGGTAAACAGTGAAGTCATGTTAATAGCACAAACCCTTGATATGATGTGATGATAATGGCTTTTCACTTCTGTGGTCATCCTGCCAAAAACCCATAACCACCATCTTACCATGCAAAAAACTTTAGACAAATTTGAATTGAGGTACATTTTACAAAACATCTGATCAGTTCTCCTCAAAAACGTCAAGGTCATCAAACGCAAGGAAAGCCTGAGAAACTGTTACGGCCTTGAATAGCTTAAAAATTATGACAATGCAACGTGGTGTCTTGGATGTGACTTTGAAATGGGACAAAACAAAGGAAATTAGGGGAAAACTAACAAAATAAAAATAAAGTATGGTCTTTAATTAAAAAATCAAAAGCTCACCCAACACCCAGCAGTTTCTTGACATTTCCATAAGTGGCATGGCTCTTTAGAGTTAAGAGAAATTCACATGGCAGAGACCCCTTTATTTGATGAAGTACACTGTGCAGCTCAAATCATTGAAGGTTCTAAAAATCCTGAAAATTAAAAAACACACACACAAATGTTGTGTTGGCATAGCTTTACTAAGACTTGGAAATGACTTTGTAGTAATCTTTGTTTAATAGTTTTTCCTCTTTCTAAAATCACAACAAATTCAGTTTAAATTTCAAAAGTATGTTCCTTCATTCCTCTTCTTAATATGCTTGTTTGTGAAGGCGGGTTGTGTTTGACTTGCCCATCATCTACTGTAGGGTTTGGCACACCAGGAGTACAAAAATAACAAAAACAGAACATAAGGTACAACTTGAAACACTGGAGAAGATTATTGCCAAAAGTAAACACTGCAGTGTTGTACTTGAAGCATGTTTGTGATCGACAAATCTGGCAAAGAAAATTCTTTCTAGTATTATGACCTATTTTGGGACTCTGTCTTTTTTGGCTTCTAAAACTTTGTAATTCTCAGGCTCAATTGGTAGATTTTTTTCACATTGTCTATATATCATTCTTTTAAAATGGTGAACTATAGCTTCTTAAAGGATTTCAAAATTATTTTCAGATTCTACATTTTATCCTCTGACAGTATATCACTCAGGAAGAATAGATTAAATGTGCTGAAAAGAAAGGCAATGAAAACTAAAGAAGTTTCTTAATATGAAAGAATAAGATTAATATCAATTGCCTATCTTATTCAAGGCTACACTATGTAGTTTATGAACCATTCTTTGGCTCAATTTTTTTTCAGGTATATACCTGGTCATAAACTCTGTACTACCAAAATGAGTAGGAAAATTATGTCTTTAAATTCAAATATATCTTTTATTTCTCTTATATTGGTTTTTGAATAACTTATCCTTCAAACCATATTACCAGCCCATTTAAGTTTTCTTTGTATTACAGTGTTAAGGATGTCACCTTATTCCTTATTTTTTATCCCATTTTATACTCCATAGAAATAGAAATGCTTTCATCGAGCGTCATGCTTTTAAATCACTTTGTAAGCACTTATTTCAATAGCCTAGATAGAATAAATACATATAAGTTAGCCAGTTATATGAACTGTAATTTTATTTGTTATTTTTTGGGAGGCAGGGTGTCACTGGCATGATTTCGGCTCACTGCAGCCTCCACCTCCTGGGCTCAAGTGATCCTCTCACCTCAGCCTCCTGAGTAGTTGGGAGTACAGGTGCATACCAGCACACCCTGCTGATTTTTTTACTTTTTGTAGAGTCAGGGTCTCCTCATGTTGCCAAGGCTAGTCTCAAACTTCTGAGCTCAAGCCATCTATACACCTCGGCCTTCCAAACTGCTGGGATTACAGGCAGGAGCCATCGTGTCTGGCCTATAAATTGTAATTTTTAAACAAATGCCATCCATTAATGTCAAATCTAGACATTTGTTTATTTTGTAAGAAGGAGAGTTCTAATCCTTTTTTTAAAATTCTATTAAGCAGTTAAAGGAAAAGTATAAATTTTGACCTCATAAAATCACTATCATATACCTCACCATACCCTGAAACTACTGGGCACAAGTGATCCTCCTGCCTCAGCCTCCAGAGTAGCTAGGACTATAAGTACATGCCACTATGCCCAGCTAATTTTCATTTTTATTTTTTATAGAAACTGGATTTCCCTTTGTTGCTCAGGCTTGTCTTGAACCCCTGGCCTCTCAGAATCCTACATAGATTATTTTAAAGGGAGTTCAAAATTATGAGAATTTTATCTATTCATTAACATTAAAAACACACCCCAATATAGCTAATTTTAAGTTACAGAAACAACATATAAACATACCTTTCCATTTTATATCACTGGATAGTATGTTTCAAACCCAGTGTTTTATATAAAAATGTGAGAAGATTGAGCTCAAATGAGTTCAAACTTTGAGCTCAAAGAGTTCAAGTGTCTTTGCAACTATTCTTCCAAATTCCAATCAAAGGCTGAAACCTTGTTGGGGCCTGGGCCCATTTAGGTGCTTGAGAGCGTCACACACAGTTGAGGGTGTCTGAGATGTACACACGGATTACTACATAAACTCCTAGTTTTCTAAAGGAGGAATTGATGAGAGACTTATTGTAAGCCAGCCCAAAATAATTCTGTGAATTGGCAGAGGTACAGTGGTATTGTTATAGCTAAATATAATTCATAGAGTGGAAAGCAGGAACCAGGCCTGCAAAGATGTTCCCTGGATCTTGTGAGCAGGACATAATGTCTGTCAAGCTTTGTAACAGAGGAGACCTAGGGAGGGGCTGTCAAAGAAAGATTGCTATACTTTTTTTTATTATTATTATCATTATACTTTAAATTCTAGGGTATATGTGCACAATGTGCAGGTTTATTACATGTGTATACATGTGCCATGTTGGTGTGCTGCACCCATTAACTCATCATTTACATTAGGTATATCTCCTAATGCTATCCCTCCCCCCTCCACCCACCCCAGGACAGGCCCAGGTGTATGATGTTCTCCTTCCTGTGTCCAGGTGTTCGCATTGTTCAATTCCCACCTATGAGTGAGAACATGCAGTGTTTGGTTTTTTGTCCTTGCGATACTTTGCTGAGAATGATGGTTTCCAGCTTCATCCATGTCCCTATAAAGGACATGAACTCATCATTTTTTATGGCTGCATGACATTCCATGGTGTATATGTGCCACATTTTCTTAATCCAGTCTATCATTGATGGACATGTGGGTTGGTTCCAAGTCTTTGCTGTTGTGAATAGTGCCACAATAAACATACATGTGCATGTGTCTTTATAGCAGCATGATTTATAATCCTTTGGGTATATACCCAGTAATGGGATGGCTGGGTCAAATGGTATTTTTCGTTCTAGATGCTTGAGGAATCGCCACACTGTCTTCCACAATGGTTGAACTAGTTTACAGTCCCACCAACAGTGTAAAAGTGTTCCTATTTCTCCTCATCCTCTCCAGCACCTGTTGTTTCCTGACTTTTAATGATCGCCATTCTAACTGGTGTGAGATGGTATCTCATTGTGGTTTTGATTTGCATTTCTCTGATGGCCAGTGATGATGAGCATTTTTTCATGTGTTTTTTGGCTGCATAAATGTCTTCTTTGAGAAGTGTTTGTTCATATCCTTTGCCCACTTGTTGATGGAGTTGTTTGTTTTTTTCTTGTAAATTTGAGTTCATTGTAGATTCTGGATAATAGCCCTTTGTCAGATGAGTAGATTGCAAAAATTTTCTCCCATTCTGTCGGTTGCCTGTTCACTCTGATGGTAGTTTCTTTTGCTGTGCAGGAGCTCTTTAGTTTAATTAGATCCCATTTGTCAATTTTGTCTTGTGTTGCCATTGCTTTTGGTGTTTTAGACATGAAGTCCTTGCCCATTCCTATGTCCTGAATGGTATTGCCTAGGTTTTCTTCTAGGGTTTTTATGGTTTTAGGTCTAACATGTAAGTCTTTAATCCATCCTGAATTATTTTTTTGTATAAGGTGTAAGGAAGGGATCCAGTTTCAGGTTCTACATGTGGCAGCCAGTTTTCCCAGCACCATTTATTAAATAGTGAATCCTTTCCCCATTTCTTGTTTTGTCAGGTTTGTCAAAGATCAGACGGTTGTAGATGTGTGGTATTATTTCTGAGGCCTCTGTTCTGTTCCCTTGGTCTATATCTCTGTTTTGGTACCAGTACCATGCTGTTTTGGTTACTGTAGCCTTGTAGTATAGTTTGAAGTCAGGTAGCGTGATGCCTCCAGCTTTGTTCATTTGGCTTAGGATTGTCTTGGCAATGTGGGTTCTTTTTTGGTTCCATATGAACTTTAAAGTAGTTTTTTTCCAATTCTGTGAAGAAAGTCATTGGTAGCTTGATGGGGATGACATTAAATTTATAAATTACCTTGGGCAGTATGGCCATTTTCATGATATTGATTCTTCCTATCCATGAGCATGGAATGTTCTTCCATTTGTTTGTGTCCTCTTTAATTTTGTTGAGCAGTGATTTGTAGTTCTCCTTGAAGAGGTCCTTCACATCCCTTGTAAGTTGGATTCCTAGGTATTTTATTCTCTTTGAAGCAATTGTGAATGGGAGTTCATTCATGATTTGGCTCTCTGTTTGTCTGTTATTGCTGTATAAGAATGCTTGTGAATTTTGCACATTGATTTTGTATCCTGAGTCTTTGCTGAAGTTGCTTATCAGCTTAAGGAGATTTTGGGCTGAGACGATGGGGTTTTCTAAATATACAATCATGTCATCTGCAAACAGGGACAATTTGACTTCCTCTTTTCCTAATTGAATACTTTTTATTTCTTTCTCCTGCCTGATTGCCCTGGCCAGAATTTCTAACACTGTGTTGAATAGGAGTGGTGAGAGAGAGCATCCGTGTCTTGTGCCAGTTTTCAAAGGGAATGCTTCCAGTTTTTGCCCATTCAGTATGATATTGGCTGTGGGTTTGTCATAAATAGCTCTTATTATTTTGAGATAAGTCTCATCAATACCAACGTATTGAGAGTTTTTAGCATGAAGGGCTGTTGAATTTTGTCAAAGGCCTTTTCTGCATCTATTGAGATAATCATGTGGTTTTTCTCTTTGGTTCTGTTTATATGCTGGATTACATTTATTGATTTGCGTATGTTGAACCAGCCTTGCATCCCAGGGATGAAGCCCACTTGATCATGGTGGATAAGCTTTTTGATGTGCTGCTGGATTCGGTTTGCCGGTATTTTACTGAGGATTTTTGCATTGATGTTCATCAGGGATATTGGTCTAAAATTCTCTTCTTTTGTTGTGTCTCTGCCAGGCTTCAGTATCAGGATGATGCTGGCCACATAAAATGAGTTACGGAGGATTCCCTCTTTTTCTATTGATTGGAATAGTTTCAGAAGGAATAGTACCAGCTCCTCCTTGTACATCTGGTAGAATTTGGCTGTGAATCTGTGTGGTCATGGACTTTTTTTTTGTTGGTTAGCTATTAATATTGCCTCAATTTCAGAGCCTGTTATTGGTCTATTCAGGGATTCAGCTTCTTCCTGGTTTAGTCTTGGGAGGGTGTATGTGTCCAAGAATTTATCCATTTCTTCTAGATTTTCTAGTTTGTTTGTGTAGAGGTGTTTATAGACTGCTATACTTTTTAATGTACTTTTTAATATGATTGGGTTTGAGTCCAATGTCTCTGTTTTCCACTTGTCTCATCTATTTAAACAAAAATCTTTTCATGTTTTCTTTTGGAATAATATTATATGCTAGTGTTTCACTTTACTTTTACTATTATTTCATTAGCTATTCCTCTTTTATTTACATTTTAATTATTCTAAAGCAGTGATTTTCAACTAGCGGCGATATTGCCCTCAAGATACATTTGTCAGTGTCTGGGGATATTTTTTGCTTTCATATTGGATAGGAAGTGTGTGTGCTGCTGACATTTAATGGGTAGACGTCAGAGATTCTGCTCAACATCCTAGTATTCACAGGAGAGCCCCCCATAGCAAAGAATTATCTAAGCCAAAGTGTCAGTAGTGTCAAGACTGAGAAACTCTTATTTAAGATGCATAACATAACATCAAGTAATATTAAATATTAGATTTAAAAAACTAGTTCAAATAGTATTTAGTATGAAATATTATCTAATGCTATTTAAACAACATTAAATCAGATATTATCTAATGCTATTTAAATAACATCTAATGCTATTTAAATAACATTAAAGTGTAAGAATCTTAAATCAGTGTACTGTACTTCTAGTTATCCCCTTATGTGTACTATTAGCTAGCATTTTAATTCTGTACTTGTTTATATATCATATGTTTATAAGCCTCACAAAACGTCAGTTGTAATTTCCTTTCAATCAATTGATTTTAAAGTGATTAAAATGAGAAGAAAGATTTTTATTCACCCACATAACTTTCTATAAGTCTTCATTCCTTTGTATAGCTCCCAGTTTCCTTAAAATATTTTACTTCACCCTGAAGAATTTCTTTTAACTTTTCTTATAGTCATGTCTATTAGCAATACATTCATTCTAAAAAAGTTTTATTTAGCCAGCCTTTTAAAATATATTTTCATTGTGAATAGGATTCTAAATTAACCAGATTTTTCTTTAGTCCTTCTGTGGTAGTGCTCTAGTTTTCTCAGTATTGAATAGTTTCTGACACAAAGTTGTCTATGTCATGATGTACCATTGTTCCTCTCTCTGTATATAGTCTTTTTTTCCTGCTGCTTTTAATTTTTTTCTTTTTATGACTTGTATTCAACAATTTTATTATGATGTGCCTTGATATCATTTTCTGTATGTTTACTATGCTTGCAGTTGATTAAACTTCTTAGATCTGTGGATTCATAGTTTTGATCACATTTAGATAATTCTTTGTCAGTGTCTCTTCAAATATTATTTTCTGACTTACCCTAGACTTTTTTTCAGTATTCTAACTACATATCTATTAGATATCTATTAGAGTATTAAATTTTATTCCTCAGATACTGATTGATATGGTTGCTTGTGTCCCCACCCCAATCTCATCTTCAATCATAACTTTCATAATCCCCATGTGTCATGGGAGAGACCCGTTGGGGGGTAATTGAATCCCAGCATGGTTACCTCTATGCTGTTCCCACCATGGTGAGTGAGTTTTCATGAGATCTGATGTTTTTATAAGGGGTTTTCCCCCGCACTTTGGTCTGCACATCTCCTTGCTGCCACCAAGTGGAGAAGGACTTGTCTGCTTCCCCTTCCACCATGATAATATGGTTTGGCTGTGTCCCCACCCAAATCTCATCTTGAATTGTAGCTCCCATAATCCCTACATGTCGTGGAAGGGACCAGTTGCAAGGTAATTGAATCATGAGGGCAGGTTTTTCCCATGCTGTTCTCATGATAGTGAATAAGTCTCATGAGATCTTGTGGTTTTAAAAAGAGCAGTTCCCCTGCACACTCTCTATTTCCTGCCACCATGTAAGATGTGCCTTTGCCCCTCCTTTGCCTTCTGCCATGATTGTGTGGTCTCCCCAGTCATGTGAAACTGTGAGTCCATTAAATTACCCAGTCTTGCGTATTTCTTCATAGCAGTATGAAAATGGACTAATACACTGATGCTGTGCTGATTTTTTAAAAATCTTTTAGTTTCAAAGGTACATGTGCAGTCCTGATATAGGTAAACTCCTGTCATGCGGGTATATTGTGCAGATTGTTTTGCATCCCAGATACTAAGCCTAGTACTCAATAGTTACTTTTTTCTAATCCTCTCCCTCCTCCCACTCTTCAACCTCAGGTAGGCCCCAGCAACTGTTGTTCCCCTCTTTGTGTTCTTGTGTTCTTATCATTTAGCTCCCACCTATAAGTGAGAGCATGCAGCATTTGCTTTTCTTTTCCTGTGTTAGTTTGCAAAAGATAATGCCTCCAGCTCCCATTCTATAAATTTTCTATTCACTCTGATGATGGTTTATTTTGCTGTGCAGAAATGCTTTAGTTTAATTAGATCTCATTTGTAAATTTTTACCTTTGTTGCAATTGCTTTTTTGACATCTTTATCATGAAATCTTTGCCCAGTTCTATGTCTAGAATGTTATTGCCTAGGTTGTCTTTCATGGTTTTTATAGTTTTGGGTTTTAAATTTAGGTCTTTAATTCATCTTGAGTTAATTTTTTTATGTGGTGAAAAGAAGGGGCCTAGTTCCAGTGTTCTGCATATGGCTAACCAGTTATCCCTGCACCAAGGAGTCTTTTCCCCATTGCTTTTCTTTTTCAGTTTTGTCAAAGATCAGATGCCCATAGATTTGAGGACTTATTTCTGGGTTTTGTATTCTATTTCATTGGTCTATGTGTCTGTTTTTGTATCAATACGATGCTGTTTTTAATACTGTAGCCCTGTAGTGTAGTTTGAAGTTAAGTAGCACACTGATGCAAAAATCCTCAACCAAAATACTAGCAAGCTGAATCCAACAGGACGTCAAAAGCTAATCTACTGTGATCAAGTAGGCTTTACCCATAGGATGCAAGGTTGGTTCAACATATGCAAATAAATAATTGTAATTCATCACATAAGTAGAGGTAAAGACAAAAACCACATGATTATCTTCATAGATGCAGAAAAGGCTTTCAATACAATTCAATATCCCTTTATGTTGAATACTTTCCAGAAACTAGGCATTGAAGGAACATAGCTCAAAAGAAATCGAGCCATCTATGACAAACCCACAGGCCACTGTCATACGAAATGGTCCCTTTGAAAACTGGCACAAGACAAAGATGTCCTCTCTCACCACTCCTGTTCAACATAGTATTGAAAGTCCTGGCCAGAGCAATCAGGCAAGAAAAAAAAAATAAAGGCGTCCAAATAGGAAGAGAGGAAGTCAAGCTATCCCTCTTTGTGGATGATAAACCAGGGAGGGCAACCATCTCTACAATGAGAATTACAAAACACTACTCAAAGAAATCAGAGATGACACAAACAAATGAAAAAACATCCCATGCTTATGGATTGGAAGATTCAATATTGTTAAAATGGCCATACTGCCTAAAACTTTACAGATTCAATACTATTCCTATCAAACTACCAGAAACATTCTTCAATGAACTAGAAAAAGCTACTTTAAAATTCATATGGAGCCAAAAAGGAGCTCAAATAGCTAAGGCAATACTAAGCAAAAAGAACAAAGCAAGAAACATCTACCTAATAATTTATTAGTGTCTCTATCCCTTACTGTGTTTCCTTTTGGATAGTTACTGTTAGTATGTCTTCAAGTTCACTTACCTTTTCTTCTGTAGTACATAATCTACTGTTAATCTCATAAAATATTTTAAACATTTTTATTTTTAATTTATCATATAGTAACCTACTATTGTATATGAATAATATTAATGAGAAAATGTTACATTGTTAGTTAAATTACTTGGGATTCATTTGCTTCTGAGTTTTTGTAATGACAAATATGGAGCAGCCCCTACTTTTACGCTTTTATAGCTGTACTACTAAACACAGTTGTTCTGTAGATTCTACTTAATATCCTATGGAGTATGAGAGCTCTGCTTTCTGTCTGGTAAAAATTGTTTACTTGCTTGCCAGTGGTGCTTTCTTTGGCCTTGAAATTTTACCCATGCATGCAGAGATTGGTACTCTACCAAAGACTGGAGAGGGGGTTTCCCTGGCCAGTTTTTCGTGATCTGTTTTTGTTTATGCAGCTTCTTTATCTCCAGTATTCTGCTATATAAATAATAGCCATCTTAACCTTTCCTTTCTAAACCCTAATGTCTGTCTCCTCATCTCAGCAAGATCACTAGACTAGTTTCATACACCTTTGCTCGGGCTTAGAGACTGATTTCTGCAGCAATCTAGGAAAGTTGTAGGACTTACCCCATTTTGTTTTTTTTCTTTTTTTTTTTTATTATACTCTAAGTTTTAGGGTACATGTGCACATTGTGCAGGTTAGTTACATATGTATACATGTGCCATGCTGGTGCGCTGCACCCACTAATGTGTCATCTAGCATTAGGTATATCTCCCAATGCTATCCCTCCCCCCTCCCCCGACCCCACCACAGTCCCCAGAGTGTGATATTCCCCTTCCTGTGTCCATGTGATCTCATTGTTCAATTCCCACCTATGAGTGAGAATATGCAGTGTTTGGTTTTTTGTTCTTGCGATAGTTTACTGAGAATGATGGTTTCCAATTTCATCCATGTCCCTACAAAGGATATGAACTCATCATTTTTTATGGCTGCATAGTATTCCATGGTGCATATGTGCCACATTTTCTTAATCCAGTCTATCATTGTTGGACAGTTGGGTTGGTTCCAAGTCTTTGCTATTGTGAATAGTGCCGCAATAAACATACGTGTGCATGTGTCTTTATAGCAGCATGATTTATAGTCCTTTGGGTATATACCCAGTAATGGGATGGCTGGGTCAAATGGTATTTCTAGTTCTAGATCCCTGAGGAATCGCCACACTGACTTCCACAATGGTTGAACTAGTTTACAGTCCCACCAACAGTGTAAAAGTGTTCCTATTTCTCCACATCCTCTCCAGCACCTGTTGTTTCCTGACTTTTTAATGATTGCCATTCTAACTGGTGTGAGATGATATCTCATAGTGGTTTTGACCTAATAGACATCTACAGAACTCTCCACCCCAAATCAACAGAATATACATTTTTTTCAGCACCACACCACACCTATTCCAAAATTGACCACATAGTTGGAAGTAAAGCTCTCCTCAGCAAATGTAAAAGAACAGAAATTATAACAAACTATCTCTCAGACCACAGTGCAATCAAACTAGAACTCAGGATTAAGAATCTCACTCAAAGCCGCTCAACTACATGGAAACTGAACAACCTGCTCCTGAATGACTACTGGGTACATAACGAAATGAAGGCAGAAATAAAGATGTTCTTTGAAACCAACGAGAACAAAGACACCACATACCAGAATCTCTGGGACGCATTCAAAGCAGTGTGTAGAGGGAAATTTATAGCACTAAATGCCTACAAGAGAAAGCAGGAAAGATCCAAAATTGACACCCTAACATCACAATTAAAAGAACTAGAAAAGCAAGAGCAAACACATTCAAAAGCTAGCAGAAGGCAAGAAATAACTAAAATCAGAGCAGAACTGAAGGAAATAGAGACACAAAAAACCCTTCAAAAAATTAATGAATCCAGGAGCTGGTTTTTTGAAAGGATCAACAAAATTGATAGACCGCTAGCAAGACTAATAGAGAAAAAAAGAGAGAAGAATCAAATAGACGCAATAAAAAATGATAAAGGGGATATCACCACCGATCCCACAGAAATACAAACTACCATCAGAGAATACTACAAACACCTCTACGCAAATAAACTAGAAAATCTAGAAGAAATGGATACATTCCTCGACACATACACTCTCCCAAGACTAAACCAGGAAGAAGTTGAATCTCTGAATAGACCAATAACAGGATCTGAAATTGTGGCAATAATCAATAGTTTACCAACCAAAAAGAGTCCAGGACCAGATGGATTCACAGCTGAATTCTACCAGAGGTACAAGGAGGAACTGGTACCATTCCTTCTGAAACTATTCCAATCAATAGAAAAAGAGGGAATCCTCCCTAACTCATTTTATGAGGCCAGCATCATTCTGATACCAAAGCCGGGCAGAGACACAACCAAAAAAGAGAATTTTAGACCAATATCCTTGATGAACATTGATGCAAAAATCCTCAATAAAATACTGGCAAACCGAATCCAGCAGCACATCAAAAAACTTATCCACCATGATCAAGTGGGCTTTGTTTTCTTTCAAGTATCCCAGTCCTTCAAGGTCCGTTGTCCAATATCTGAAAACATGTATTTTGTCTGTTTTTTCAGGTATGTATGGTAAGATTACAATTCTTGAACCAGTTAAGTTTTTCCGGGCAATTCTATAAACTTCAAGATATACAAACTGGAATATTTTCTGAGCTTTTAGAGAACTAGATGACTTCTATTTTTCTGGATCTTTGTTAATGAAGATAAATGTGGTTCTTTTCATTTTGTTAATAGAAGATACCTTATTGTTCTCGCTAATGTGAAATAAAGTATTTAATAAATGACTTATTTGTCCCCTGAATCCTGATTACTTCCTACTACAAACACACAACTCCCTCAACACACACTCACACATACACACACTCACAAAATGAACACGCAAAGTGAGAGACCTCCTCGTGAGTTCACTGATCACATCTCTATTGCCAAATTCTCAGTTTCTCTGCACAAGCTCTTTTTTGCCTGCTGCCGTCTACGTAAGATATGACTTGCTCCTTCTTGCCTTCCACTATAATTGTGAGGCCTCCCAGCCATGTAGAACTGTAAGTCCAATTAAAACTCTTTCTTTTGTAAATTACCCAGTCTTGGGTATGTCTTTATCAGCAGTGTGTAAATGGACTAATACATCCACCCACCCACCTACACACACACACACACATTTGTTTTCCTTATTGAGGTATAATCAATATACAAAATGTTGCACATATATGACTTTGGCCATATGCGGCTACTTGTGATGTAATCACAATCAATGTGCTATATATTAGTAAGAATTCTTTTGCTTACACTTTGCACTAATCTAATTCCAATATAATATAAATGTAACCTAGTCTGTATTCTAAAACAACATTTAATAACTCATACAGCACGGATGCACCATGGCTAGCTGCTTATGACTACATGCAGAGACTCATAGCTATTCAAACTTTGTCTTTGAATCTATACTATTTCCCTTACAGACCAACTTCTCAACAAGTGAGTTGCTGAATCTTAGGCAATTACCAGGCTTCTGTCTTTACATTTGTACCATTTAAGACAAACAAAAAGAACTTTTATTCAGATCAGTTTGAAAAATTTTTGTGAAGAATTCTGGTTGGCAAGGATTGGGTTGCACGATTATTCTTTGAAACCCTCCTTGTACCTATGAGGGTAAAATGAAATAATTGCTAGTGCCCTCTAAAGGCATATGTTTGGAGTCAGGAAGGAGCAGTTGCCCAAAAGAAGAATGTGGTTCTAAGAGACAAAAGAGAAAAAGTCATGGTTTAATAACAAAATATTTCCATTATAAGATGTTAAGTGCTCTCTCTTCCAAGTAATGAAGTTATTTGTAAGTATAGGTACAGCAATCAATGGTGTGTCTGTATTTTGACAAAGCATTTGTCAAAATCTCTTCTTATATCTTCACAGAAAGATGAAGAAGCATTGGGCAGAAAATAATATGGTTAAATGTATTCACATCTGGCAAAAACTCCTAATTAAAAATTGTTAATTAATAAAAATCACTAGTGATGTGTTGTAGGGCTCTATCCTTGGCTCTTAAGCATTCTATATTTTTATCGATGACTAGAGGAAATAATTAAATGTGGAAGTGAAGTTAAAGATTTTGTGGCATGGTTAACCTCACAGAAAAATACGTTGAAGTTACTCTGTATTTGAAGTCCAGCAGCTTACAATAATTCTTAGAATACAATTTTATCTCCTTGATTTATCTCAACAGATTTTCATAATCTTAGAATTTCTTAACAGGCATCCTTAAGCCTAACCATTTAAAACTACTGGCAGTTCCGTGATCATGTTATGTTCGCCCATTGTCCTATCTGGGTCTCCTTTTTCCTGTTATTAACTTCCTTTCATCTAGTTGACTTTTACTCATTTCACAAGGCTTAATTTTTATAAGAACCCAGTTGAATTTAGTTATAAGTGTTTGGCATTGCTGTAGCATCCTAAGTAAAATGTTAATGTAGCACAATTTTACAATGCATTGTATTAGTTGGTTTACGTTTTGGTTTTTATTTGTTTTCCTTTTCTCCATAAGGCAGAAAGCCACTGAGAAGGGCTTGGAATAAGTCTTAAATGCCTGTGTGTTCTCAATACCAAGAACAGTACCTAATAGCTAAAAAAGAAAATAGTAAATGTCAGCTTAACCACGTTGAGAAAGAGATTCAACATGATCTGGAAAACGAGAATGTAAATTGTAAGGGGTGTGTGTGTGTGTGTCTGTGTGTGCGTCTCTGTGTGTGTGCACACACTTGTGTGTATGTATTACTAAGGATCAATTGAAGGAGAATTTGCGTTTTGGCGATAATTGGTGTGGCAGCAGTCTGTGTAAAGAGGAGGAGAATGTGTTAGTAGTGTTAGTTCACAATCAATATGAAATAATAGCATGCTTAGTTTCCTCATAAATAGACTCCTTTAGAATGTGTAATTAAGTTGATGGGAAAGCAATAGCACATTTTTTTCTGTAGTTATTCATTTATTTAGTAAATTGTGTCAGGCTTGAGGAGATATTGCTCCATACCCTCGGGATTCAAGCTGGACCCGACAAATCTCCATCTTCAAATCTCTTAGTCCATTATTATTCAGTATGATAAGTGCTAACATAGAGAAAATTACAAAACAATGTGGGAGCACAGAGGAAATACCTGCTGCATCCCTTAAAGGTCTGAGTAGGAAATGTTATTTTAAGTTAAAAGTATTCAAATAAACAATAGTATTCTGGAGTAGTATAAAGGAATTAGAGTTGCAAGAATAGGAATAGCTTGTGTGGGATCTTGGAGGTGAAAATATGGTCCATTCAGGTAATTAAGTGCTCAGTCCAACAACAGCAGAGATGATAATATAGGAAAGTGAAATGCGTGCTCCATTTTGCAAGGCAAATTATCTCTCTGCTGGAGCTGGAACACTGGGAAATCAGGTTTCATTTTCACAATTTATTATGATTTTAACAGCATTGAATTTAATGTTGGGTTTTGTAATGGATATCCTCTTACTTCACATTGTAAAAAGAGTCATTTTGGATTCCATCATGCAGAGACCGAAGCTGTTGATTGACTTCTATGTAGAGAAGAGAGTAACACACAAGCAATGCACTTCCTGAATTTATATCAGACTTACTTTCCCTCCCTTTCCTCTTTTTTTTCCTTTCTCCCTTCCCCCTTCTTTGCTTCTTTCTTCTTGTCAGCCTTCCTGCTTTCCCGCCTTCTTTCATTGTGCCAGTACAGTGATCCATTTCTTTTCATTTTAATGGAAATTCTTTTTCATTGGGAGCATGATTTCTCATGAGCCATGTTCCTACCACTGCCTGCTGTCTCACATATTGTCACTGTCATTGATATTGCTCTTGAAGACTAACTTTGTGCCCTATCTCTAAGTAGAAATAATACAACATGAAACTTTTTGGGCACTTGTCCCAGCTAATTAACCTCTTTGACTAGCTTCATTTTATATGGTTCCTGTCATCATATAGAAAACTTAAAATATTAATTTAGCATGAGAGTAGAGTTGCATCTTTAGGTGGGTCCTGCCCTAAGTGGAAGTCTTCATAGGCTTTTAATTAAAATGATTGAAATAAGTGTTGATGATTTAAAATCTTTAATTTGTTAAACAAACTCCAGGGACATTGAAATATCTTCCATTATTAAATGACCAAATTACTTGAAACTTTTTCTTAATTGTTATGTTTTTAATAAAAGCCAAAAGTATAATTATTACAATTAAAGTATGTACTTCAGCTGATATTTTACATGCAAATTGAGTTAATATTTTTAAGGCAAATTCATATCTTCTGTCTTCAGACAGATGATTGTAGGTTAAAATTCAATATGAATGAATAACCAACATTATGATTTTTCTGGTGAAAAGGAACCAGAGATATATCAAAAATCTTTTAATGTATATATGATTATTCATTATGTATATATTTAAATTCTGTACAACACATGTTAAGAAGTATGATGATAAGCTGTATTGTATTCAGGGGTAAGCAAGGATAATTGTGATGTGTTCTAGAGATTCAACTATAACGAACAAAATTAATATCCTAGAAAATGGAAGTTTTCAGAATATGTATTAGCTCTATGATATCAAAAATTATTTCATGTGGAAAAGGCAATTGGTTCTCACCAGAATCTTAGTTGTTGAAAACAGTGCAAGTTTATGGGAGGTGGAAAAAGATATATTTGTATCCTTAAAGGAATATATATATATATATATATATATATATATATATATATATACACACACACACACACACAAATTACAACAGTAAAGAAGTGACAATTATTCTGAGAAGTGGCCATTTCTGTTCCAGCAGCATTGAACTGTTGATTTTGTGGAAATTTTAGATGTCCTCTAAATTATTATTACTCTACAATTCTATGAATATTCTTAGTATATGCTGGAAAAATGCAAACAAAACAAACAAAAAACAGAATTGATTGTTTAAAAATCAGTGATTTTAGCTAGCCACTAAATATGTTTTTGATTAAAGCTTTCTTCTGTCACCATCCAGAACCCATTTCAACTGATCACTGAAAATGACCTGCCCTAGCTTATTTTCACATGCTCTGTAAGAATGCTTATTATTGACCTCTCCTTAAGACTTTGGACCTAATAATCTCTACTATAACACTATGGATATAAGTGTTAGCTCTGGAGAATTTTGGCTCATTTCACTTGTTACTTGAGTAATCTCAGATAAGGTACTTAATATCACCAAGCTCAATATCCTCTCTACAAAATAGAAACAATGATAGGTTTATAATCTCAGGATTTTTTGATAATGAATGAGCTATACATGGTTGTAAAGAGTTTATCACACTGCCCAAGAAAGAGAAAATTCTTCACAACATGGTTATTATTCCAAATGGGGTTAATGTAGCATCTAGATAATCTGGTAAATTTGTATCTGTTAATAAGTTACACTTACTAATGTTGCCATACTAATCGGGCTAAATACATATAATATGTATTTTAAGTAAACTATCATCTTCCTCAGAATTATTATAAAGTGATTATTTCAAATAATTTAAGAGTGTGAACAAATGCCAAAGAAATCAGGTAGTACCATAGATGCTCAGTTTTGGAGAGGGGAAACTTTTGATATCGTCGAAAGAAAAATGACTTTACCTTTTTGAGTTTGCACCATGCTTATAATATTACTAATAATATATAAATGTAGCTAGGTTCAGTTTATTGTCCTAAAATCAGTTTTGAAATCATTCCAGTTGATTCATGGTATAAATTACACTAAAATATTTGCTTTGGTCTGGCTGACTATTTTTTCATAAATGTTATATAAATAAATATATACATAATATGCCTATATATTTATTACTGGTACAGTAATACTCTTTTTGTAATATAAATCTGAAGAAAGGCAACAAATATGAAAAAAATCATTGCTATCCATTTTCTGTATGAAAACATTCAAATATATTTTCTTGGTCTTATAAGCTTTCGAAAGTAGCCTAATTTTGCCATCTACATCTACTTAGTGATATAACCTATCTTCTAGATATACTGCATTACTGACCATTATTATCCTGATATGTCATTCTTTTCATATGTCATCTATTGGAATTAGTAGAGAGTGAACTAATATGTATTGAGCTTCTACTTGTGTAGCTTCCATGCTAATTAATTTGCTAGTTACAAAATTTCAAAATTCATTTTTTTGTTCTTCAACTAATTCTGAGAAATGAATGTTATCATTATCAGATGAAGAAAGTGATATTCAGAGAAAAATAGTATCCTTAAATTAATGTTGGGTAGGATCAAAGATGAGTTTTGAAGCAGTCTTTTGGATGTAATTTCTTTCCCACCACTTTCCTGTAGTGCCCTATATTGCTCACATTTCTTCTATTATCATCAGTGTATCACGTGTATAAGTCAAATAATACCCCCACACAAAGATTTATCTTAAGTAATGCTAAATGTATAAAGCCTCTTTAAGTGAACACCTCATAACTTTGTAACAGAACTCCTATGGAGTATTATCCTAAAGTACTCTAAAGTATTACTTTTAAGTCTTATCAAATACTACTTATGTCACAAACATTTTGTCTTCTTACTATGCATGTTATGCTACAGTTACATGTGTTCATTACCAACTTTCATTGTAGAAAATAAATTAGGAGCCATACATTTACATGTATACATATCATGAGATCAACTAAAATGACCTCAAACATAGATAATGCTTGATTATTATTATTATTTTGCTGCTGCTGCTGTTGTTGTTTGTTCTGTTTTGTTTTGTTTTTAGACTGAGTCTCACTCTGTCTCCCAGGCTGGAGTGCAGTGGCTCAAACTCGGCTCACGGCAACCTCTGCCTTCCAGGTTCAAGTGATTCTCCTGTCTCAGCCTCCCGAGTACTTGGGACTACAGGCGCCCACCACCACACCTGGCTAATTTTTGTATCTTTTTAGAAGAGATGGGCTATCGCCATGTTGACCAGACTGTTCTCAAACTCTTGACTTCAAATAATCCACCTGCCTTTGCTTCCCAAAGTGCTGGGATTACAGGTGTGAGCCACCAAAGTCAGCCTTGATTATAACCTTTTAATCATAGAAATAAAAGCACAGACTTGAAAACTTAATTAATAATTCATATTTTCCATCTCATTTTGGGGTCAACCATTACTACCAGATTCATGAAAAACAAAACACAATAGTTCAGAAATAAATGTAATAAGAAAAAATTTATTTTTATGCAAAACATACCTCTTATTCATGAAAACATATCGTGATAAGAAAAGTTCATGTAGAGTTACATCAATCCCAAAATAACCAAATTATTTCTGAAAACATTGAGAATGCCCTATATTACCAAAGGCAAAGAGCTGACATTGCCAATTATTTGTGTGTATTTTCTTACACAGACATTAGAATGGATGGAGGGTCATTGTCCAGAAAAATAGAAAACAGATATTTGGCAGAAAGAGAATGAGTTTCCACATAGTTTGTATGTACATTTTCCCAATTGTATGCTCTGCATCATTTAAAAAAGCAGATCTTTTTAAATTTAGTCATGTACTTTAAGGAGTAGCCAATGTAGTCAAGGAAGAAAGAGATTTCTGATGGGTATGTTTTTTACTTTAATTGCTTTAAGCATTTTTCTCTCCCAATATTGATGAATTAATGATTTAATTTGAACTGATGCCAAAGCAAAAGTTGCACTGGATAAACTTAAAGAGATTAGGAAGAAGTGCTGCAAACTCTACTCCACTTAAACAAAGGTTGGGAAGGCGTTTTAAGCGCTTGGAGAGTGGGGAGTCTTAAGCCATCTGTGAGAATTGACCTCACCCAAAGGAAAAGGAAATTTTCTTGTATCTTCATGACAGGAGATAGTTTTACAACTTGAAGATGGTGCCTACCAAAGTTAAGCTCCTACCCTCCCACAGAGAAGAGGCGGAATGCTATATTCCTTGATTACATTTCAAAAGGATGGCTCCCAGATCTTTGAGAAAGACAGTCATAAGTTTTAAAACTTATGAGAGGCTTATAAAACGATTTACAACTTAATGGGGCAGAGAAGGAATCTACAATCAAAAATTTTCTAAGGTAAATAAGCTAAGAAAATGTAGAGGAGAGATCTCCGTGGTTAGAAAATCTGAATTCTGTAAGGAACAGGGTAAGAGGGAGGTCAGGGATCTAGAGGCAATGGGAAGCTTGTCTATAGTTTTGTCAAGCTGAGGGCAATGTTATGCCTGCATTGGTCACTAGAATAATACTCCTTGACGTGCAATGAACGAGCCATCCTGGCACATATTTGTTTTTTGTTTCTCAGGCTGTGCCATACTTCATGTGAATCTGTTCATTCCATGATGTAATCATATAATGTTTCTGAATGGTACCAGGAAAAATAAATGTCATAATTTGGGTTAAGATGATGTACTGGGCATGTATATCTACATCCTCCCTTGGCTCCAATCATTGACAATTCTGTGGATAAAAAAAGACATACTGGTACTTACCAGTTTTTGAACCAACTTCCTCCCCTCTTGGTCCCCAACATGCTCCACAACTGTCCAATATAAGGAAGTACAAATCAGGAGTATGTAAAATTACTAAAAATCAGGAAGCAGATGTTTCTAGATTGAAGGAAAAACAAGATTAGTAGAAATGAATACAATATATGAGCATTATTTTCAAAGAGGATAGAATTCCAGTTCTCCAAACTCCAAATAACTAAATACCAGAGTGATGTAAAGCTCAGGGGTAATTGACTATGAAAGGTGCAATGAGGAATTTGCATTTGAGGCAGGTTAGTTTGTTGACAGACTTTACCTTCAACATTCAACAATCTGGCAATTTTTTGAGAAATTTACCTTCAACATTGGTGAGAATCAATGTGTGGGCTAATATTACCATTTTTATTTGGTATTATGAAAGGAAGATAAAGAAGTGAACACCAGGAAAGACATGGAGGAGTGGCAAAAGCAAACAAGCTACCTCATCCTCATTCCACTACAGCCACATGTTTAATTAACCATGTAACTCACTCAAAAAGCTGCTATAATGAGAGCTAGCATTTACCAAGAGATTAGGAGGGAATAAAAAATACAAAACAAGCAGGCAACTGAGAATTACCAAATATTGTTTCAGGAGATAAAAGAACACTAAACAAAAAGAATAATTGCTAATTTAGGAAGTGGAATTAAAGTAATGCACATAAAATATTTCAAAAGTATATTATATCAAATATTGCTAGAAAATTCATAGGGATGGATAGGAAACCATTAACCAAAGACAGACCATAAAGTGAATGGGATTACTAGAGATATTTGATATTTAAAAATATATTCTTTAAAAAAGATGGAATTATTAGCTTAATGTTTTCACCTCAAGAGCAAATTAGTGATCTACAGCATTCTCCTAGATCCCATGGCAAGAGAGGCAGACAAAAAGATGTATTGAACTGAACATATGTGAATGAGATAAAGGATATTTTTTGATAGCTCTACTGTACTTTTCGAGAAATTCAGAAGGAGGCAGAGGGAATGAAGTAAAGAAAAACAATAAAATACTTAATAAAGGGGAAAATTGTGCTGAAGAAGATCATAAATCTTCACCTGACAATCCCCAAGTGAATTCTGAGGAGAATAAATTAAAAAAAAGATATAAAGCTAGGCAGAATATGTTGACACTTCACAGAAAAAGAAAATCCTAAAGGTTTACAGAAAAAAAGTACCAAATTAACTACAAGAGAAAAATAAGGAACATGACACTAGATTCCTTATGCTTAATTGAAAGATAGCTGGGAAGATAAGTTCCTGAGTTTTTATGATTCTATTCTATTTAATTCCCCGGAATTTAGGGAGAAAGGATGAATCAAAGAGAGACATGACCAAGTTCTGATGAAGTTTCACATCTGTTATTGAGGAGAGAAGGACTCAGCGAAGTAGACTGAAATGAAACATCCACTGGGATAGGAAGGAATTTAGGAGTGGATCATATCACAAGTGTTATAACAAGGCAAATCAATTCAATTGTGTTAAACCATATGGATAAATCGAGAAAGATGTAGATAGAAGTAGGCAAATTACATTTCAAAATGTAGTGTTTTGGTGGCTTTGGCAAAATAATTTCACTGGAATGGTGGGAAATAAAACCAAATTCACATAAGTTAAAAATAACTGAGGTCAAGGAAATGGAGACATTTTATATACAGTTTCTGAGAAGATTTCAATGGCAAGAGAATCAAGTAGGATGTGAAATTTCTGAAAGATATATGGAAAAAAGAGACTCTTACAGAAAGAAAACATTAGGTCATGGTTGTATGCTTCTGGAATTGTGGGGAGGAGTATGAATGAGCTAGTCAAACCTGCACGGGAAGTGGAGAGACTTTGATTTGAGAAGGGGTCTGGTCTGTTTTACAATGAGTTGTAAAGCAGAAATAATACTGAAAATAGATTTGATAATAGATGTATTTACAGATTAATTGAAGGGAAGATAAATGTATTTTATTCTGATTAAATCTATTTTATCTGTGAAGTATGAGCCTATAAATTACCATAAAAATGTGTTTGTAAGAAGATACAGAAGTTTTAAAGAGCACAAAGAAAATTTTAAATAACCCTTGTAAAAATAGAAAAATTAATCTATCAATGTTGAGTGGTTGGGTGGGATTTATCATCACACGTTTAAAGCAAATTTATGTGAATGTCTCTACTATTCTTCAGCTATTTGGATGTCGATATGGAAATCATGGACTAAAGTTTTATGCAGACTTGGGCTTTTGCCTGAGTGAAAGGATTGGGCCTTCTTTTTAGTAATTTAAGTCTAAAGGAAGATCTCTGGATTACAGCTTGACCAATAGAGAAGTGAGCCACAAGAGACTATTGCACAATGAAAATATTATACATATAATAAATGTTGGCACGATATGATCTCAGACTTGCTTTGGTAGGAATACTTGAGTAAACCGGTTGGTGAGTTAGAAAGTTGTGATGAATGATATATTTGTGATGCAAGACAAATATTACATTGAGTATATCTGTAAATATATTCCTCTGATTTCTAAAATGTAGACAGATTGTACAATTTTTCGATTCAAGGACTTTTTAAAGGTAAACATTAGAAGCAGCCTAATGCTAATTTCTTTCCCTGTCTTTTCTAAAAGTATAAATAATGGGATAGATTATGTAATGGGTCTGTAGTTAGGAAGAGAGAGAGAAATTGCAGCAAGGCAAGACAGACAATTTTTGGAGATTATGAAGGTGAATATCTTTAGTGACAACGTTAAATTTTACATGAGCCCTGTACTCCTGTAAAACTGTGAAGGCTAAAAAATACCCCAATCCTTTGTGTCTCCTAAAATGGCTACTGCAGAGGACCACACTTTCCCATGTGACTTAGATAAGACTCATGGATGCCTCACTTGTTTATTTATGACAATGCCAGACACAGATCCTCCAAATTCTCATTATTTGTCTCATAAATGATAGCTAAACTGTTTGTCCTTGCTGATCAATGTGAACAAAATGTTTGTCAACTAAACTTTGATTAAGATTCTTTCCTTCCTCCAGGACCTTGCACCGTGGCCGACTCTCAGCCTGAGTCAGACTGCCAACTTCTTCTGAGATAGGCTGGCTTCCATTGACATTCTCTGATTTACTGGGCCAAACTGATCTACTCCCCACATTGGGATGTTCCTAGTCTTATTTACTCCCCTCTTTAAAAAATGAAAACAAAAACAAACAACAAAAACAATCGCCTCTTTGACATTTGTGAAACATTTGTCCCTCAGTATCTGTTGGGGATTGGTTTCAGGACCCCCTGCAAATACCAAAATCCACGGATGTTCGAGTCTCTGATATAAAATGGTATAGTATTTGTATATAACTTATGTTCATTCTCCCATAAACTTTAAAGAATCTCTTTTATTGTTGTATTGTTTCTATTTACTTATTTATTTATTATTTATTTTTGATCCACGGTTGGTTGAATCTGCGGATATGGAACCTGCAGATACCGAGATTGCACGTGTGGATCTGAGGGTTACAGCTTTCTCCCGACTGTGAAGTCCCTATTCTTCCTTGCAATAATCCTTTTGCATAAGTGTCTTGTGTAAGTCCTGATTTATTTTATTTCTTTATTTTAAAATTGAACTGCAAAATCCCACTGACAAGGTGGTCTTTCTGATTTAATAAATGAATGAATGAATGAATGAATAAAATGTATTGGTGGATTTTCAGGTGCAGGAAAGAGAGTTAATCAGACTGCTCACTTCATAGTGTGTAATCAGCAGCAGCATACCCAAGGTTCTTTCTTATTTTATGGTTCTTTCTTTATCCCTTATTCCCACACAAATCTCTCCTAAATGCATCCGCATTAGCATGTCTTGATATAGGTTTTTGTCACTCTATATGGCTTTACATAATTTACTTAAAATATATTTGATTTACATCTCATCCTAATTCTTAATTTTTTTCAGCACTGTTTTATCACCTATGGCTTTTGTCATATCCACTAATCCATAGTTTACAAATACTGCATTGTATTCTTTACCATGAATCCCTAGCATCTTATTTAGCTATTCCCTATATACATATGTAGACTGTGAAAGTTGCCAAGTCAATATATTTGTATGGAACTTTGTATACAGTTTACTAAAAAATTATCTGGCATATATAAAACCAAGGATAGTATAAATGTTTAGTTGAAGAACTTTATTTTACTCAAGTTTACTAAATGAGCTTGAAAATTGTACAGAATAGTTGAAATAACCTCCAGCCTCACCACAAGTGAATAGGAGTTTCTTTCTCGTGAAATCCCTTCTAATTCATTATATTATATATAATTGTATCTTTTCAATACATTGGGTTTAGAATAGTAATATAACTTATATTAATTCTCATTTATAGGATTACTAGTGATTTTAAGCATCTCTTTAAATACACATAGCTAATGGGATTTTCTTCTGCAAAACTTTCTATTTATATATTTTTTTCTTGCTTTGTAGATTTCTTTTTATACTATAGAAGTAAATTTTTGGTGTTTTAAGATGTGGCAAATTTTTTTTTAATTTATTACCCAGTCTACATCATCTTTTCGTTAATTTAATCCTTCATTTTGAGGTAACCAAATCTAAAAAAATCACTCATCTTTCGTACTTTGGAAAAAAAATTTGTTCTGATGAAAATATATTTTTACATTATTGCCTATTAAGTTTATATTATATTCTTTTACATTTGGTCTTTAATTAACTTATGGCTCACTTGGATGTGTGGCAAAAGCAGGATCTTGCCTTATCTTTGGCCATGTTTGAGATGGTTTTCTCAATGCTACTAATTTACGTCTTATATCTCATTCATTTTTCTAATTTTTCCATTTATGTATTTTTTCTTGAGCTCTCTATTTTGTTCAGGAGCTTATTTATATCTAAGCCAAGACTGAACTGTTTTCATAGCAATGACTCTTTGAATGTCACAATATCTGGTATGTTCAAATCTTTTTTCTTTGCCTTGTTTCTGAAAATTCACACAGCTATTCCTTTGTGTTTATTTTTTGGCATAGATTTTAGAAATTGTTTGTTAAGAGCCTAAAACAAATAACCAAATTAAAACATCATGGGGGTATTTTGTAAATGCATTTGGAATTGACAAAAAAGCAAAATAAATTCATTAGAGCTGATATTATGGCAAATTTTTCCCATTTTTTAAATATACTTTAGAATATAATAGAGTACTAAAATTTCTCTTTTCATTTTCGATACATTCTTGTTATTTTTTCTCCATAAGGAAGCAATATTTAAACCCCAGGATAGAATAAAATATTATAGTGTTTTTCTAAAATGCAAACCTTTTCACATCAATATTCTTTGATTCTTCTTACTTTATTGTCACTTACTGATTTTGCTTCTCAAATAATTTAAAATTGTTTATGATTCCTTTTAGGTTACCAAATAACAGTGGTCATCAGAGAAAATACAGATATTAGAAACAAACTGTAAGTATAATCTATATTCTACTACCACAGAACAACTATCTTTAACTTTTAAATTTTATTTCAGTTATTATTTCGACTCACAGATTTCTCCAGTGATTTACAAGGTATATTTCCTTTTATTTATTTTTTCTTAAATTTTACAACTCAAAAAGTTTGGAAATATTTCTGCAGTCCATATTTTTTAAATTCCTAAGATAAATAAATAAATATATGTATATATGTAAACATTGTCATATATCTAAATTATAGTAAGTGTTACTCAGGTAAATAAATACATGAAATTTTACCTATGTCTTTATTATATTTTCTGAAATTTGCAGTTCTTCTTAGGAACAAGAGTAACAACCTAAGATTAGGTTAAAGGAAATGTTTAATATACTATAAACATGCAAAGTCACTTATCTTGGGCCCAATTTATCATACTTTCTATGAAAATAATATGGAAAATGGAAACCATTAAAACAACTTATTTTTGTGTCTTTCTTGCATCCATGTAAGCATTGAGTTCAAATCAGTGCAAATCCTCTCACATGGATAAAAGATTACCTGATTAAGTTATTTGCAGTGGATCAAATAGCATTAAAGAAAAGTAATTCATCTCTACAATCTTAGTAGGCAAATTATATTTACTCAAGGATATATAACAAAACTGATAAGGGACAATTACACGAGATTTCCATAACAAAAATAATCTTTATCAGTCAGTAAATTTAAACATCACTGTCTGCCTATGATAAACAAACAGCTATATATTTACTCTGTTAATGTAATGAAAACCCTATTATAGAGCACTGTACTTTGTCATGTTTCTTTATTTTCTAATATGGTTGCATGTTAGTTTTTATGCATATAATTACACATTGAAAGTAAAATCTGAAGACATACTGCCAATAACCTGAAAGAAGTTGTAATTTAATTTAAAATGAACCTCTTAGGCTTGCCACACTTTGTGAAACTAACCTGTGGTTTCCAAGAAATCGATAATGTTCAATCAGAATCTTTAAGCATACAAACTACTATAATTTGTTATTTGTTACTTTAGTCAAAGAGAATTAATACAAGCATAGCCTTAAAACATTTTGCTTCTTTCCAGCTCTCATTATACAATATTTATGTCAAAACAAAAGAAATAGTCTCCAGGAGAAAATATCATGGAAACATAGAAAATAGGAATTATAACTGTTTAGTGAGTATTTGTATAATGATATGCTTTTTACCAGGTAATTGTTACTTATCTAAAACATAGCATGTTATCAGTTGAATGTTGCCACCCTCTCCAATTCATATATTGAAGTCCTAATCTCCAGTACTTGAGAATGTGATCTTATTTGGAAATAGATTATTGCGGACATACAGTTGTTCTTTAAACAATATGGGTGTTAGGGGTACTGGCCCTCCACACAGTTGAAAATCTATATATAATTTTGACTCTCTCAAAACTTAACTAATAACCTACTGTTGACCAGAAGACTTACCAATAACATGCCTAACACATATTTTGTATATGTATTATTTACTATATTCCTACAATAATGGAACCAAGAGAAAATTGTGGAAGAGAAAACATATTTACTGTTCATTAAGGTCTTCATCCTCATTGACTTCACATTGAGTAGTTTGAGAAGGAGGAAGGATAGGAGGGCTTGGTCTTGTTCTCTCAAATGTGGCAGAGGCAGAAGAAAATACACATATAAGTGGACCTGCGCAGTTCAATCCTGCATGGTTCAAGGGTCAACTGTAATTAGTAAAGATGAGGTCATACTGGTGTAGAGTTGTTCCCTAATCCAATATGACTGTTGCTCTTATAGAAGGAGGAAATTTGGAACAGACACGTACACAGGGAGAATATCAAATGAAGATTAGAGTTATGCTGTCACAAACCAAGGAACCACCAGAAGCTAGAAGAAATAGCTAGAACTGATCATTCTCTGGTGTTTTAGAGGGAGCATGGCCTTTCGGACACCTTGATTTTGGACTTCTAGCCTCCAGAACAGTGAGAAAATACATTTTGGTTGTTTAAGCTTCCTGGTTCGTGGTACTTTGTTACTTCAGGCCTAGCCAGTTAATACAGATTTTGGTACCAAGAAGTGTGGTGCTTCTATAACAAATTCCTAAAAATGTGAAAGTGGTTTTGGGATGGGGTAATATTGTAGGCTGGGAGAGCTTTGTGGTACATAATAGGAAAAACCCAGATTGCTTTGAAGAGACTGTTGCTAGAAATATGAGTGTTAAAGAGATATCTGCTGAGGTCTCAGACAGGAACGAGGAACATGTATGGGAAACTGGTGGAAAAAGATAATCTTGTTATAAAGTGGTGAGAACTTGGCTATTTTATGAAAAGTAGAACTTGTAAATTGATGAGCTAGTTTCTCTTTGCTGCTCATAGTAAAATGAGAGAGGAAAGAAATAAAATCTGGTTTTCTTTTTTAAGCAAAAAAGAACCAGAACTTGATAAATACTTAGACTATCCATATTGCAAATAATAATAATAATAATAAAAATAATAATGAAATAAAAAAAAGAGAGAGAAAATGTGCTCTGGAAATCTGTGTTTCCACAGCCAGGAAATGGGCTGATTAAGCCACCCCCTATGAACATGTATCCTTCAAGAGAGATAAGAACGATCCTCAAAGTGGATCAGGATCTGGCTCCGGCTGGGTTCCCATGGGCAGAGGTACCTCTTTGGTTTCTGAGAGCAGGGCCACCAACGAGGGACTACAGAACTTAAAAACAAATCAGTAAATCGCAATAATCTATAAAGTCTAGAGGTTTTATGATAGTCCTTTTTCAGAAATAACGTTATGCAAGTACTGTTTATTCAGCATACTGGGTGCTTTTTATAGGTTAAAAGGAGAACATTTTTGTCTCTTTATCATCTTTTATCATCCAGACGCTTCCTCTATTAGCAGATAGAAAATGCCTTTTTTTTCTAAAAGCTCATCACTATAATTGTATTAGATAAGACTTGGAGAAAAAGAGTTAACAAAAAGTTAACCTTGAGGTGACTCAAATTTAAAATACAGAAAAGAAAATGGTGGGCGATTGTATTAAGAAATATAGTATAGCGATAGAAGCGTTTTCCATCAACAATATTTTCCAAGGTTGGGATGATAAAATAAAACTTTTGAGCATCCAATGAAACGAGCTTATTCAGAAACAGAGTAGTTTTGCTGAAACATGAGAGAAATGTCTCCCTTAGTAAGCCCCGTGTTTGTCATACTGCTGTGCATCTGAGGTATGTAGAAGGAATATGCACTATAAATCAAACTGTCAAGGAACTTTCAAACCCAGTGCTAAATATGATTCATTTCAGCAAGACATTTAAAGCTAATACAGTATAAAGTTGAAAAAAAAGGTCTAAAATACACGGCACGGTACACTAATTTAAAAAAACACATGAAAATTAATGTTTAAAGTATCTGGCATAATTAAATGTCATGTTATATATTTTATTATTATGTTGATACAAAAGAAAAAAATTCCAAAGTAATGGTGTGGTTTTCTTGATGAGTTAAAATATCATCCTTGACATTTTCTCTTAAATATGAAATATTATAGTAATAACCAAATGCTTGTTCAAATTAAACATACAGATAAGACTATACTGAAAATATGTAATTTATTGTCCAATGCAGTGTTAGGTGAAGGACTAGCCTTTGGGTAGAGGGTCCATGAGTGGCAGTAAAAAATCCTTCAAAGACACAAATTCTATAATAGATTTTGCAATATACTGAGGAATTTTTCATGACTCAGGAATAAATTTCCATGAAACATCAGAGATTTCTCTAGCTAATAGGGTGTGTCTGAATGGTTTGGTAACTTTCTTGGTGTGTCAATTTTAAGGATTGTGGACCAATGTAATTTATACCTAGAGTGAAGATTCTCATCTTTTCCTTTGAAGGACTTCAGTGAAATTTAACGATATCATCGTTCTCACTCTACAAATGTAGCTTTAAAATACTCAATTTATTTATGTATATTATCCACACACTGTCACAGAAAGTTAACTCTTCAATGTTGTCAGACATTGCCATTTATGTCAAATATTTTGCAGGCAAAGATTTTGTAAAATGCTAATACAATGAAGTGTTAATTTAGCAAAGGCCTTTAATGTTTTTATTCACTCTGCCTCTATTGTGAGGATTCTAATTACATGTGTCTTATCTCCTAGGTTTAACTGTGATAAATTCCTGCTTCAAAATTAATCTTTTGTCTTGGTTTCATTCTTATTTTCTGTTTAAATTGTACTTTTACTTTCCAGTTAGAGGAACATCATTCTAATTAAGGCACCAACCTAAATAAAACAGATATTCTTTGTTCACTAAATGCAAGAAATACACATGTATAAAAAATAATCAAACGGAAATGATTGTCTTATATATTTGGATAATTGCTTACATAAATAGGTCGTGAAAACCCACTGGTGCAAAACAGTAATATTGTATGTCTGCATATTTGCTTATAGGATATTGACATAATTAACTTGAATCATTGAAAATAAAATACCAAAAATATATAACCTAAATAAAGATTACAAACTAATGGTGATGATCAAGAGTTTTCAGTAAATGTCTAGATCATGTATTTCGTGTGTAAAAATATTTATCAGTATAATACTTATAAAAATATTTTTAATATTTTTATATAAATATAAATATTATATATAAAATATAAAAATATATTTTATAAAACTATTTTATATATTTTATAAAAATATTTTTATAAAAATATTTTTTATAAAAAATATTTATGTAGTCTTCAATTTCAGCAATGTTTTAGGCATAATTATCATTGCCATTTTAAAGCTTTACCTAATTATAACTTTTGGGTATTGTAATTGAAGCAACTAACTTTACTCCTTGCTAGTTAAAATTTAAAGTATCATTTATATCTATTCAAAATTATTCTGATTTTGACGATCTTTTAAATATAATAGAAATATGTGATAGTTCTAAAATTCTCAAGTTTTTTAAAGTCAAGTAAAGACTTAAAATGTTCAATGTCTGAATGTTTCAGAACCAAGTTAATTATTCAATTGATCTACTCTATCTTTCCATATGTAGCTTTCCATTTGAAATATTGATAATATGTTTCAAACAGTTGTGGGATATTTTACTAGATTTGAAAGACTTCAGGGTAATCATATTTGAACTCAGCTGTTTGACCACTTTCTAACAAACAAATTTTTTTCATCATCATATTACGCCTTTTAGTGATTAATAGAATTTTAGTTAAAATAAATTATTAACTATGTTAGTAGTCACTTGCTACATTCAAGAGAGAATTTATTTATGCCAGAGTTGGGTAATCTTTTTCACAAAGATTCAAATAGTAAATAGTTTAAGCTTTTTGGGGTTATACAACAACTACTCACTTCTGCCACTGTAGTGTGAAATCGGCTGCAGACAATACAAAAATGAATGAGTGTGGCTAGGTCTCAATAAAACTTTATAAAAACAGGCACCAGCCCAAATTGGGCCTGTGGGTCTTAGCTTTCTGGCACATAGTTTGTACCATTTTACATGTAAAATATATATTCTCAGTTTTCTACTATCCATCTCCTGCTTGTTATTATTACTTTTATTCAATAGGTCTAAAACAGAGTTTCTATTTGTGTCCCATTTATCTACTTTACCCACTATTCTCAGAGTCCTCCAGGTGCAAAATCTGTAATTATCTGTAGTTGGTTCTCCCTTTGTCCTTTCTTGTTCAATTAATTTCGTATTTTTGTAGGTTATATTTTCATAATATCTCAAGCTTTATCCTTATGTTCTGTTGTCCATGAGGTGATCTTAAATAAGCCTTTAATACTCTTGCTTTGAGCATAAAAATCACTCTAAATCAATTTGTCTCCAGATTTTTCCTTTAAGTGTATTCATCCATTCTACAAAACATCTTCTAAAACCAACTCCAGATCACAACTCCTCGCCTCTCTTGAACCAATTTCAGTCCAGCTTCTGCCTGATTATTTCTACCAATGCTCATAGAATTCAGTTCTCCATTCTCATCAAACTTGACCATTTGGTGAGATTTGAGAGGGTTCATTTACTCCTACTTGAAACACTTACCTCTTTTGGCTTTCAGTACACTGCACATCCTTGGTTTTATCTTCTATGCCACTGGCTGCCGTTTTTGTCTTCTGTGCTCCTCACCTTTAGAACTGAGGCTTTCCCTATTGAATAAAAATCAGAACGGATTTTTCTTTCATGCTGTCAGAGGCTTAACTACCATCTTTCCCTTTATGTATGGAATGGCCCATTTTAATATTTTCAGAGGTATTGGTTTTCACAACAAAAGTTAACTTCTAATGCCTTTGGAAAAAAAGAGGGAATTTTCAAAAAAGTGAATTATTTTAGGGATTTATTTACTTAATCAGAAATTTCAGCAGTATAAAATAAGTAGAGAAGTTTCTTTTGCAATGGTAGGAGCAAAAACATTTCATTCAAAATGGTTATTATGTGTAAGAAATATGATGGATATTTAAAAATGCAGCATGATCTTTTCTGAAGTCAATAACTTCTACAAAAGGCAGCTTTCAATTCTAAGGCTTTGTAACATAAATGAAAAATAATGTAGATTAATATATATTACCATAAACACATAAATAGCTTTGTTTTCGCAAAAAAATTAGCAAGCTCATGGTATCTCTGAAGTTGAGCCTTTTAATCTTTAGAAATTAAATAAGGACATTTATTTTTAAGTATAATGCTATTCTCTATTTTGAAGTTTTTAGAATGTGAATCATATAGTCATTTGTTTAAATATAAGATGCATTATTTAAATTCAGTAAACAACTTTGGCAAACATTGTACAATTTTTTTCTTTTCTTTTATTATTTTTTATGCTTTTAATTGTTTTTCTGAGACAGAGTTTTGCTTTGTCACCCAGGCTGGAGTGCAACCGCTTGATCATGGCTCCGTGGCTCAATGCAGCCTCAAACCCCTGGACTCAAGTGATTCTCCTGCCTCAGTCTCTCAAGTATCTGGGACTGCAGGCACGCACCACTACACCTGATTTTTTTTTTTTTATTTCCTAGAGATGGGGTCTTGCTATGTTGCCCAGGCTGCTCTTGAACTCCTGCGATGGCCTCAAGTTATCCTCCTGCCTCAGCCTTCCAAAATCCTGGGGTTATAGGCATGAGATATCACACCTGACCTGTGCAATATTTTTCAAAGAAAACATGATAAGTGTGATTGTATCGATATCTAGAAAATAATAATATTTGAAAAATTATAAGACATGTCTGTAGTCCAATAAATTTAATGATGTGGTAAATAATTTCCAGAGAAGACTGTCAAAAACACTTCCCATATATATTGGATCTATTCACCTGCCCTTATATGGCCACATGATTTTCTTGGAAACCAGTAAGATACGGCAGAAGTGAAAAATAACTCAGATGTGGTTTGACCTTAAATGGCTTGGCAACACCCCTTGCTCTTTTGGAACCCTCAGGAAACATACAAAAAGGTTTCCTTCACTGTCTTGGCACTATGAGCCACCACAGAAAGATATCTAGGATACCCTACTGGAGAGAACACAAGAAGAGAGCGTCTCGTCCACATCTAACATTGAGGTGCCAAACATTTGAGGGAGGAGTGCTCAGAATTTTTTGTCCCTAGTTGAACCTCCAAGGATCTTAAACAACCTAGTTGAACTTATGAGAGACCTTAAACAACCAACCAGCGGAACCAGTTATCTGAACCCAGCTAGACTGAAGAATAATAAGTAAATAACTGTTTATTATTATTTTAGGCCACCAAGTTTTTGGCAGTTTGTTATTTAACAGTAGAGACAGCATGATGAAATTGGTAGCAGATGCAAATGGGTGTCTTTACTGGAGACTTCTCTTTTATCTATCAGGTTACATTTTGACTCCTTAGAATGGTATAAGTTTGCAGCAAATTTTCTGGTCAATGTGGGAAAATATTCAATATTTTTCCAATATTTCTGATGTCTTAAAATGATGCCATTCCAATAGAAATATAATATGAAACATAGATATAATTAAAAAATTTCTAATAGCCATATTTTTTAAAAGTATAAATAGATAAAATCCATTACAGTAATATAGTTTACTTAACCAAATATATTAAAATGTTATTATTTCAACAAATAATAGATCTGAACTTACTAATGACATAGTTTGCATTTTTCTACTTAATCTTTCATATCACATGTGTATTTTACACTTAAAATATGTTCATTTTTGACTATCCATGTTTTAAGTGCTCACATTTCAAATATGGCTAGTGAATACCATATTGGAAAACAGAGCTCTAAAATATGTCTTTTTATCTGTCAATTAAAAAAAAAAATCTGTTGGCCAGGCACGGTGCCTCATGCCTGTAATCCCAGCACTTTGGGAGGCCGAGGCTGGTGGATCACCTGAGGGCAGGAGTTCAAGACCAGCCTGGCCAACATGGCAAAACCCCGTCTCTACTAAAAATACAAAAATTAACGGCGTGGTGGCAGGCACCTGTAATCCCAGCTGCTGGGGAAGCTGAGGCAGGAGAATCGCGTGAACCCAGGAGGCAGAGGTTGCAGTGAGCCGAGATCACGCCACTGCACTCCAGCCTGGGCAACAAGAGCAAGACTCCATCTCAAAGAAAAAGAAAAAAACAAATATGTTTTGTGCCTGCTATTTGCTAATTTCCATATTTTTTATACTTGTCCTATTTATTCACAATATATTTGTAATAGAGTGATCATATAAATATTATATTTTTTTCTCTTCTTATAGTTCACTATTAAAAAAGTTTCAGTTACCTGAATGTCCTAGGTTTTACACTTTGGTTCTCATATCATTGAATGACTAATTATTATTCCATATCATATAATATGAATATACATGTAAATAGATATTTTTTCTCCTATACTATTCGATAATAAGACATTAGAGGGGAGGTAAGTAGTACAATGTTGTAATGCCTATTATCTTTCCTGGCATATATTATGTAATTAAGTTTTAATTTATAGATGATTAAATACATTTCTATTTACCATTCATTCACTCTCAATATCATTACTCATTTCTATGAATTATTTCAGCAGTTATATCATGATTATAGTATTCTTGGGAATTTACATCTATTTTAGCAGATAAGGATATAATGCTTTTTATTTCACTACATTTGATTTCTCTTCATAAATTCTAATGTGTTAGAATTTGTAAAAAAGCAAAGTATACATTTAATCTTGCTTTAGCAGGTTTATCCATGTATATGCATGGTTTGATACCTCATTTCTTTTTCATAATGAATGGTATTTCACTGTATGGATGTACCAACATTTGTTTGTACGCTTATAAAGTTGGTTTTAGAGCTATTCAGTGTTTTTCTTGTTCTTGAGCTGTTGTGGTATTCTCCACTCAGTTGAAGAACTGGAGGAGTTAGGTGCTCAATCAGGATGGTCTTGTTAACTCTACATCCTGGATTAATAGGTAATGTAATAGCACTAAGGAAATATTGTGTCTTTAGACGGAAAATGCTTTTGGTAAATACAAACAATTTTTGTGGAATAGCTAAATGGAGCAATATTAGACTAGCAAATGAAAATAGTGGTAAGAGCTTAACCCTCATTATCTCACACAGAAGTATAAAATTTTAGCTCCATTTATCCACAATTCTACACCAAATTCCAACCAATATAGTTCATAAACTTTCTGATACCCATTTAATTTCCATCTTTCTAAAAAGAGATCTCAGGCCCTTTCAAGTTCGTATTGTATTTTAGCTTAGAATCTTTATTTCTCATAAACATACACAAAGGTCTAACTTCAATTTTATATCCATTCTCTCTCCCACCAGTTCAGTTTTTATTTTATTTTATTTTATTTTATTTTATTTTATTTTATTTTATTTTATTTATTTTGTTTATTTATTTTGAAATGGAGTCTCGCTCTGTAGCCCAGGCTGGAGTGCAGTGGTTTGATCTCGGCTTACTGTAACTAACCTCTGTCTCCCGGGTTCAAGCAATTCTCCAGCCTCAGCCTCCCGAGTAGCTGGGATGACAGGCGCCCACCAACACACCCGGCTAATTTTTGTATTTTTAGCACAGATGGGGTTTCGCCATGTTGGTCAGGCTGGTCTCGAATTCCTGACCTCAGGTAATCTGCCCACCTCGGCCTTTCAAAGTGCTGGGATTACAGGCATGAGCCACCGCGCCCAGGCCCACAGTTCTGTTTTTTTTTTTTTTTTTTTTTTTTTGAGATGGAGTCTTGCTCTGTCTCCCAGACAAGCTCCGCCTCCCGGGTTCGCGCCATTCTCCTGCCTCAGCCTCAGGAGTAGCTGGACTGCAGGCGCCCGCCACCATGCCCGGCTAAATTTTTTTTTTTGTATTTTTAGTAGAGACGGGGTTTCACCTTGTTAGCCAGGATGGACTCGATTTCCTGACCTCGTGATCTGCCCGCGTCGGCCTCCCAAAGTGCTGGGATTACAGGCGTCAGCCACCGCGCCCGCCAGTTATGTTTTTTTTTTTTTTTTTTTTTTTTTTTTTTTTTTTTTTTTGAGACGGAGTCTCGCTGTGTCGCGCAGGCTGGAGTGCGGTGGTGCGATCTCGGCGCACTGCAAGCTCCGCCTCCTGGGTTCACACCATTCTCCTGCCTCAGCCTCCCGAGTAGCTGGGACTACAGGCGCCCGCCACCATGCCCGGCTAATTTTTTTTTATTTTTAGTAGAGACCAGGTTTCACCGTGTTAGCCAAGATGGTCTCGATCTCCTGACCTCGTGATCCGTCCGCCTCGGCCTCCCAAAGAGCTGGGATTACAGGCGTGAGTCACCGCGCCCGGCCCAGTTCTGTTTTTTAAAGTGTCACTATTATTATTTAATAGGATCATAATTTGGAGGAAGAGTTGTAGTCTTCAGGAGACATTCTTGAAGATCTTAATTGGGCCATCAAGAAGCATTAACATTGTGTAGGCAAATATGATTGGGAGGTTGTCAATAGCATTTCAAATTAGGGTAGACATACACATAATACTAGTTATTATAACCTGGGTGACAGTAAAGAAACTGAATTTTATGGATAGGATAGGAAAGAAACTGGGGGAAATAAGTGTGAGAAGAATTTGTGAATTAAATGATATTGGTAACAATTGCAGTAGTTAAGAGTGAGCTCTTAGAAGTTGTTGCTGAATCTGAAAGTAAGAAAACTATCCATCAAATCTCCATACATTAAATCAAGGCTAAGTAATTGGGCAAAAGAACAAACAATTCTGCCTCTGCTTACTTTGAAAAGGATAATCTCTATTATTATCATTTATGGGATACACTATGCACGAAAGTTCTCTGGTCAGCTCCGATAACATTTTTGCTTTTATTCATTTCAAATATTTAGGAAAATTATTTTTTCATTTCTGTTCCTTTCCTTTTCCTTCCCTTCCCTTCCCTCCTCTCCTCTCTCCTCCTCTACATTCCCTTCCTCTTCTTTCCTTTCTTTCCTTCTTTTTCTTTTTCTTTCTTTCTTTTTTTTTTTTTTTTGAGACAGGGTCTCCCTCTGTCACCCAGCCTAGAGTGCAGTGGCATGATCATGGCTCACTGCAGCCTCAACCTCCCAAGCTCAAGCAATTTTCGCACCTCAGCCTCCCATGTATTTGGGACCACATGCATGTACCACCACACCAAGCTAATATTTATTTATTTATTTAATATTTATTTTGTAAAAATGATGTCTCACTATGTTGCCCGAGCTGTTCTCAAACTCTTGGACTCAAGCTATCCTCCGCCTTGGTCTCCCAAAGTGCTGGGATTACAGGAGTCAACCATTGCACCCAGCCAGGAAAATTTTCTAATCAGGGAGGAGGAACAGAAATTTCTGAGAATAGAGCCAATGAATATTTTATGGCTGATTTTTTTGTATTGCTGTGTGTTGGTTTCATTCTATTTCCACATCCCATTTTTATTCTGAGTTGGTGGCAGACAGCTGTGTCTAACTTTAGGGCATGAGCATTATGTTGAAAGATCATGTGTAATTCACTGTTGTATTAAGTATGTAAACTATTTGTAACTCATAATAATAACGATGCTAATAATTATTATTTTCATGTCAATGTTCTAGCATGTAATTTATACATAATAGTCTTTCTCTTTTAGTGCCTCGTACTTCATCTAATTATAGGGCTTTTCATCAACAGGCTCCTGGCAATGAAAATTATCTTCATAATTGTCCCATACCCAAACTTCTGCCTATATATGTTAGATGTTGTCTCCTTTAACACGTTCTACCATATATATTTTATCAGGGTCATTTGTGGGGGAAAAAAATTAAACATTTTTCTTTTTTTTCTTTCTTTTTTTTCTTTTCTTTCTTTCTTTCTTTTTTTTTTTTTGAGATGTCGTCTTGCTCTGTTGCCCAGGCTGGAAGGCAATGGTGCGATTTCTGCTCACTGCAACCTCTGCCTCCCAGGTTCAAGTGATTCTTCCATCTCGACCCTCCAAGTAGCTGGGATTACAGGCACCTGCCATCATGCTCAGCTAATTTTTGTATTTTTAGCAGAGATAGGGTTTCACCATGTTAGCCAGGCTGAACTTGAACTCGTGACCTCAGGTGATCTACCTGCCTCAGCCTCCCAAAGTGCTGGGATTACAGGTATGAGCATTTTTAAATGAATTGTTAATCATTTGAATATGCCAGCAACTAAGAACAATCAAATCAAGTGTGAGTTTGTAGACTGATAGATATATGAGGACTCACAGCTGAATGCTAACCATTGTAATTTGAGAAACTTTTCAGAAATTTGGAAGTTATGTTGCATGTATTAGTAAAGGTTCCCCAGCAAAACAGAAACAATAGGATATATATATATATATTCTTATTTGATGTAAAACATTAGCTCACATGATTATGGAGACTGACAAGTCGTAAGGTCTGTAGGTTGAGTTGGCAAACTGAAGACCCGGAGAGCCTGTGGTATAGTTTCATTTCAATCCCAAAGGCCTTAAAACTTATGGAACTGATGGTGTAATTCCCATACAGGGGCTGGCAGGCTTGAGATCCAGAAAGAGCTAGTGTTTCTGTTTGAGTCCAAAGGCAAGATAAAAGCCCATGTCTTAGTTCAAAGGAATTGGGCAGGAGAAGGCTCTCTTACTTGGGGTGGAGTAGGGTGGGGGTGGGAAGGGGGTGTGTGGGTCAGCTGTTTTGTTCTCTTTAGGCCTTCCATTGAGTGGATGATGCTTACGTGCATTAGGGATGGCAATCTGCTTTATTCTATCACTTGAGTGTTAATTTCATCTACCAACACCCTCACGCAAACATCCAGAATAATGTTTCACTAAATATGTGATGACTTCATGGCTTAGTAAAGTTGACAAATAAAATTATCCATCATACTGTGTTCGGAATTAATACTAGAAATGGTTACTGCACTAATAATTAATTAAGAAAGAAAATTTTGATGCATGACACATAACGAGCTGCAAACCTAGATACGGTGATAGATAAATTAATCATCTTACAATTCCACTAAGTGCTAGAATAAGAATTTTTAGACTTTTCCATTTGTATGGTATTCGGTATACCTTTGGCCATCTATTACAGAAAATCAGGTTGAACTTTATATACTGCATATGGGCACTCTTATGTACATGTTATGTTGGTAGACAGTGACTATCAGACATGACCCCCACAGGATGCTACCAATGAAGTCACTAGCATGGGAGGGTACTGGAGGCCCATGCTACCCTTAGACCTGGGCAGCAGGTCCTGAATATCACATAAACAGCCAATCTTAAAACACACATTTTTAGTTTCCTAAGAAATTTTTTTGAAAGGTAACAACTGAGCAAAATGAAGTTACCACTGAGGAAAACCTGAGCCAAGGTAGCTAGAAGATAAGGTGCAGAGCAAGGTGAGGACTAACAGCTTCTGTCTAGGTTTTGTCTCTGGTTGCCTCTCCAAATTCTCCCAGACAGATCACTTTTCCCAGATCACTGTAGTTTCTTCCTTTTTCTGCTTACATGAAATAGTTTTGAAAGCATGTATAATTGCCTGGAAATTCTGAATTGGAAAAAGGCAATATGAGGGAGAAGCACTTGACTGATCTAATGCCATGGGTAGCTTGAACTGTCAGTTCTCATCTAAGTTTTAGGCAGGTCCAGTCACTGCCTGAGCTGGGATCTGCATTCACTCTTTTCCGTGCTCTATCGAGGGGATCCACAGAAACACTTGGTAGTATGGCTGACACAGGGGAGGCATCAATATCATTATACGCCCATTACCAATGAAATTTCTGGCCCTTCATGGAAACAGAAGCTGGAACAAGGGCTTAATTTGTAACTTTTAAATATTTAGACTTATGATGTGTAGGTTTACATTTGCACTGTTGGCCTGTGCTTTGATGCTCAAGGCAGTATGAGACAGTGTGGCTTATGCAGAGTCAGAAAAATCATTGAGGAGACAAGTTTTTTGCACCGTATTATTGAAGCGGGTATGGGAATTGCAGAAATAATTGTAAAGTCAGAGGGCAGAAGAGCTTAAAAGGGAAATATGCAAGAGGATAAGAAGTGAGTTAGAGGGATTTGAGGGCTGATCAAAGAATGAAATGAAGGTGCCAGCGCAAGGAATGTGATTATGTAAAGACCATTGATTGGCCAGGTGGCCCTGAGTCCCTGAATGCAGCTTCCCTTTGAAACCGCAAGACTGCCATGCATTGGCTATACACCAAGTCTAATGTGAGAAGGGTAACTTTCTTCCATGAGGCCTGCTAGATAAAGCCTTTGCATATAGCCAGGACAGAAAAATAACAGACAGTTTATTAACCTGGAGTTAGACTCAATATACAGGCAGGCTGGATTTTTTTTTTCAGGATTTTTTTTTTTCAGGCAGTGATATGTGATTTTTATAAGCGGGTATTGGTTAGCAAAAGCAATGTAAAGTCAATCCAAATAAAAGCAGTGATCTTAGAGGTCCATGGACTTGGCCCATGAAAACTACTGACATACCTCAGCAATATTGCTGATTCAGTTCAAACCACAACAATAAAGTGAGTATCATGGTGAAAGTAGTCACACTTTTTTTTCTGGTTTCTTAGTGCATATAAGTGTTATGTTTATACCATACTGTAGTCCATGAACTGTGCAATCGCATTATGTCTAAGAAAACAATTTGCATACCTACATTAAAAGTACTTTACTGCTAAAACTGCTAACAGTCATCTGAGTGAGTTGTAAACTTTTTGCTGATAGAGGGTCTTGCTTCAACGATAACTGCTGACTGATCAGGTTAGTGCTAAAGGTTAGGGTGGCTGTGACAATTTCTTAAAATAAGACAACAGTGAAGTTTGATGCATTAATTTAGTCTTTCTTTTATGAAAGATTTATCTGTAGCATGCAAGGCTGTTTGATACTATTTTACTCACAGTAAAACTTCCTTCAAAATGGACTTCCTTCTCAAACCCTGCTGCTGCTTTATTAACTAAATTTATGTAATATTCTAAACCCTCTGTTTTTATTTCAACAATGTTTGCAGCATCTTTGTCAGGAGTAGATTCCATTTCAAGACACCAATTTTTTGTTCATTCATAAGAAGTGACTCCTCATTCATTCAAGTCTTGTCATTAGCTTGCTGCAGTTCAGCAACATCTTCAGGCTCTACCCCTAGCTATCTTGCTATTTCTCTCACATCTGCAGTTACTAGCTCCACTGAAGTATTGAACCACTCAGGTATACTTGACAAAATTTATAAATATGTGTTATATAACCTGATGTTTTGATATATATATACACTTTGAAATGATTACCACAATCAAGCTAATTAACCTATCCATCACTCACAGTGTCTTTTTAAAATTAATACACGGTAATTATACATAATTATCAGTTACACGTATTACTTTGACCAGAGCATTCTGTTACAATGTGTGTGGCCCTAACTACATTTTCAATCTCAATTTTTATATTCCCTTTCGTTACTGTTTATGTTCTAACTCTAAGTCCAAGAAGATTTTATGGTTGTTTTATTACAAAACAATTACAAAGTGTTTTTTACACTTTTAGATGTTCTGCTCCTGAGAAAAAAAAAGATAGTAGTAGATGTTTAAATCATAATGCATTATACTCAATTGGTTTTTGCAGCTGAAAAACAGTCAAGAACACATTGGACATCAAATCTGTAAACTTGCAATCTAATTAATTACATGTAACTTCACTGAGCTTCTGATTCTATTAATAAAATAAGTTCAATAGCATGTTTAAGGTCATCTGGTTTAAAATAACAGATGTGAGATTCAAAACCGGATTGGATCACCCAGACACAACTATGAAAATGTGTTCCAGGTAAACTTTAGTGAGCTCTACAAAATTTATTTTTCCTACCTTGGAGAAACTGATCACATATAGGACTGTCTTTGAAGAATGTCTTATGTGTTCATCAGTTTATTTCTTGTTTTCATTATGTTAACAATTTTGAGGAGCGACCAAGCAAAGCTAAAATTGAGATTTGCAATTCTAAAGCTCCATGACACTGATGAGATACTGTCTTTGACCTACTATCCTAATTAACAGTAATTAGGATAGTAAGAGATTTGTCATAAAATGTAAAGAAGAAATGAATTGCTTAATATTTTCCTAGCCCACTGGTTGGCTTATGTTGTCTATTATATGTATATTAAGTTTTGACTTTGCATAAAATTTTAAGAAACTCTCAAAGACATGTATTTTACTCTTCCAGTTCTAAAACAAGAACATATAATCTGTCGATTCTTTTTTTTTCACAAATAAAATGTACACTAAGTATTATGTTATGGGTAGACAGTTTTGGGTTTGTGTAGAGGGAATGTGGAGTGAGAACAAGTTAACTGAGAAAGTGGAGAGCCATTTTCCCTATTCTTTTTTTTTTCTCTTATTTTGGTTTATAAGAATTGAGTTTATTGTGAATATTTCATGACGCTTGTTTCTGTGTTTTCATACAGTATATGTATATCTCTAAGATGTAAACTGAATTGGATTTCCACTGTCCCTACTAAACATACCACACACACACACAGACACACACACACACACACACACACACTCACACACATAATTTCTCTCCTGGGACAATTTATTAAAGTCTAATTGAGCATCATAAAAGTACAGGAATTACCTTGAATTTTTAAAAAATAGGCTGAATATGGGGAAAGTGTTATTACTGTATTTGGGTCTGAATATTCTTAAAAAATACTCTTCAGAATTTTGGAAATAGCACTGAGAGAGAAAAAATTTTATTTAAATATATGGAATTAGTGTTGAGGTTGAGAATATATATCAAAAAATTGGACTGACAAGTAGATAGCAGCTTGTTGTTAAAGGGACAATTAGTTATTTGGTCTAAACAATTATCTCCATGAATAGGTGCCAAACCTCATATACAAACCACCAACACACCCTCTTTTTGGTATTCCATGATAGCTGTTAATGCAAGTTGGGTCATGGTCTAAGGAAAATCAAAACCTACATAAAGCAATGGATTTCTCACGTATCTAGTCTTTTAATTTTAACTAGTTGCCTGTTTGGCTGATTGTTGGAGAGTCAGCTTTTATTTTTTAGAATGTTGAAAAAAATATCACTTCTAGCATCTCTAAATTCAATGAGCAAGTCAGTCATTCATATATCTACAAATGGAAAATTAATATTTTGCTGGTTTGTGTTTTCAATGTATAATTCCCATCATTTACAGAAAGCTTGTGGCCGTGTTCAAGTTTTCCAGGACCACACTATTTGCAACTTACTATTTTGGCAGGGTAGATTATTTGATGATATATTTGGATGTAAATTCATATTTAAATATAATCAATTCCTAAATATATACTCATGGGCAAGTAAAGAAATATCTTTGAAATGTCTGATGGGCACCCATACTTTTTTCTTTCTTTTGCCTTTAGCCACAACCTTCAAAATACCCTTCCAATTTTTTTTTCTGAGAAGATACTGGATTAGAAAGATATATCAAGAAGATATAAGAAATCAAGTTAGAATTTAATTAGTGGGGTCACGTATCTGAGCTTCCTTAGGTCAGAGAAGGTATATACTAGGGGAAAGGAGTGATTATAAAACAAAACAACAAAAAAAAAACCATAAGTGAAGTGAGAGTTTATTTTTAATCAGGATGAGGAATAAATAGTGGGTCAGAGAAAATAAAAATAATTTTATTTCTATTAAAAAAATAGGACCTACATATTATCTTCCTGTATATGTACAATGCCACCGTGATGGAGTAGAATAGCAGCACTATTCATAATGCCTTTCCTATGATTATTGATATCACAGGAGCTCTTACAAAGTAGAATGGGTCTTCTCCCTTTGTAGTTATAGTTAACTACTTAGACTAGAATATATTTCACTAGAATCAATAACACCTGTAAGTATCAACATAACTATGCGATGTTCTCTCCTATTTACCAGTCCTATAATTATGGAAGTGTTAAGATATGAGCTTCAGTTTTCTAAATTGCACAAACAGGAAAGTAATGTATGCGCTCTTTGTCTTACATTGATAATTTGGAGATCAGATGTAGCAACATATTTGAAATACTTGGAAAAATTAAAAAAAATTACAATTAAATATCATTGCTACAGAATATATTGAGAGATTAAAAAAAATCTGAAATTTCCATGTTAGTATCTTTATTTCTTGAGGTCAACTCCTGAAGCTTCTAAAATGAATTGCATATTGTATCTTTTGTCTTCTGTATGGAAGCCTTCTCTTTCTTTGTTCTTTACTCCTTTTTTATTATGCTTTTAACAGAAGCAAAATAGTATTACAATAGAAATGAAATTGGCAAATTATGCCCTGACATGTAAATGTGTCCCAGTCCCTTTTTTGGTTCTGTTTGGGAACTAATAATGATTTTTACATTTTAAACTGATTAAAAATTTTAAAATAATACTTTATGTCACATGAAAAGTATATGGAACTCAAATTGTATTTTTCATAAATAAAATTTAATTGGGACACAGCCATGCTCCTTCCTTGATGTATTGTCTATGGCTGTTTTCTTGCTATAGCAACAGAGTTTAATAGCTGCAACAGTCTCCATTCATTGTTTTCACCACTGGTAGGCAAACCAAAACTTGCAGTGACACAATTATGCCTGGACAGCATTTGGGGTGTCATATTTATCATTGTACTCCGACTTTTTTATGTTTGTTTATACTAGTACATACTCAACAAGAAAACTTAAGTTTGAGTGTTGTGTTTTTAAGTCATGGTATGACAATTTTTTGGTTACTGAATTAGAAGACAGTTATGTTTATTTTACAATGGCACTCTAATGGTATAAAAAGAACATAATGCACATTGACATTGTCAGAATATACCATGCACATACACACATGCTTATCACAGTAATCCCATCTTACAAGAAGACAATAATCAGAAAAGTTGAAAATTGAAAATGGAATATCTCATCGTGGAAGAATTTCTTCACACACAAAAAATTCTAATAGTCAAGCAGTAAGCAAATAAATATTTTGAGTGGCTTACTTGTAAGACAAATGAGAAAAATTCTTTATTAGTAGTGAATCAACTGAATTACATGTGATTGCAGCAGCTGAACAAATGTAGCTTAAGCTTAAGATAAAAAACTTATTTAAGACTGCAAGCTCTTTAGAGAGAGCAGCTACATAAAGAGAACATTGAGTGTGATATCCATAATCAATTAAAAAAACAAGGCAAATATTTTTATTAGTTTTCCTTGGCTCTTGATAGGTTTACAAATTTTACTAATACTGTTTTTGTTTTTGTTGTTGTTGTTGTTTAACAGATGCGTCACTGTCAACTTGAAAGTGACTGAAGAGTTAAAGTCTATAAATAGATTGTTTGAAACAAGTACAAGAGGCAGTGTTTTCCAAGCGACTAAGACTTAATTCTGTACAACCCAAAGCAGAATCTGCTAAGATGTGTTAGAACTCATGGTGGTAAAAATTATACATAAAGCAGATAAATAATTAGTTGGGAAAATTTACAAAGCTTGTGATAGCAAAGGGTGTTTATAGTATCCATTAATTCATTTTATTATTCTTTAGCAGGTACTTGTCAGAAAAATATTTTATACTATCATATACAATTTAACTAGAAGTTTATTGATGAATTTGATTTATTTTCCTGGAGTTAACTATTGCCAGGTATGTGAGTTAGAAATATACGTGAAGTAACTTGACTTTTTCTACCACATCAAAATCTGATGGTTTAGCTGTGGTAAAGTATTACTGGGATTTTATTTTTATTTTTATTTTTTTAGCTCAGGACTAAGACTGACATTGTTTTCTGAATGGAAGAACCATCCTTAATTACTATTAGAATATATTTAGTGGCTTTAGTGATTATTTTTATGCAGAATAGGTAATGCTGCTCAGTGAAATTCAGTGTAAAATTAAAGGGTAAAATAGTATTTCTACGTGAAACTGATATTGCAGTAATGTCATTTTGATGACAACTAACATTATTTGTATTTTAAGTGACATCAACCTTTTAAAAACATTTCCCATGTGGTCAAATGATAAAATAAAAAAATACATCACCGTTTCAACACAAATTTCTAGTATTTATATTTTATTACATTTTCAGAGGATATTTCAGAATCCACTGAACTGTACAATTGAGGAGGTCTACCTAAACTTCAACTGAAAGTGACTACTTGGTAATGCAATGACGTGATTAGAGATAAATGTCAAAGAAATTATCTAATAGACTTCCATAAATGCATTCCAAGGAATAAATATTCTCAATAAAAATATGAGCTTATGAGGCTGGGAGCAGTTGCTCATGCCTGTAATCCCAGCAATTTTGGAGGCTGAGGCAGGTGGATCATGAGGTCAAGAGATCGAGACCATCCTGGCCAACATAGTGAAACCCCATCTCTACTAAAAATACAAAAATTAGCAGGGCATGGTGGCACGTGCCTGTAGTCCCAGCTACTTGGGAGGCTGAGGCAGGGGAATCCCTTGAACTGGAAGGCGGAGGTTGCAGTGAGCCAAGATCATGCCACTGCACTCCAGCCTGGTGACAGAGCAAGACTCTGTCTCAGAAAAGAAAAAAAAAAAAAGAGCTCATGTAATATCAGTAGCACATAGTACATATTTGTGTGAAAATATTTTCAAAGATAAGATACATGAAATCTCATTTCTTATCAGCATTAACTTATGAAGTATTTCAGTCACTTGTACTGATAGGGAATACTAACTTTGAGATACAATCAAGCAACTATTAACCTTTACCCCCTCCAAAAGTTTCATTTTGCTAATACACGGTACATAAACCTGTACTATGATGAATTAAATTCAATTATTATTTATTTACATAAAATAATTATGTACTTATTAATTTTATTTTATATATTTATATTATTTTATTTTATTATTTATTTATTTATTATTTATTTATGTAAAATAAAATAGAAATGATATCTTATACGAAAGTATGTGTAAGAGGTTTATCTCTTGTTATACAAATTTTTACATAATATGCCAATTTTGCCTTGTGGCCTACATAGCCTAAAAGATTTACTATCTGGTCCTTTTTGGAAAAAGTTTGCTTATCCCTGGTATTGAAGATTTAGAAGTTAATGTGAACATATCTTTGCAGTTTTTATGACAGTATTAACATTGCATTATTATAAAAGTAGTACGATCATTGGGGGAGTATTAAGGGCTGGAGAGTGAAAATTGTAAAGCATTGTCTCCTTCCTTTCATCTGCTTTTCCAATGCAGATGGTACATACTCTTTGAATATGATTGATGAGCCGGGGAAGCCTCTTGCTAGCAGCTCTTGCTTCTGCTCACTACATACATAAGGTAAGAACATAAGCGTGCACAAACACAAAATGTTTTTTTTCTGTTGCTTACTTCTCTCAGAGGCAGAATGGTAAGTTGATATGAGGTTTTCTCTCAGATATTTTATTTTGTTTGCTTGTATTAGGAGCATCTGCTCACTTGGCCCCTGAGAATTCACAAAGTCTAATATTTATTGTTCAGTGTTGGCTGCTAGGAGATTTGGACTTGACAATAGAGAAAATATATATTTTTGCAGAAGTTCATCAAATAATAAGCTAGTAATTTTATTGTGCCTTTGTTGTTGAAACATACCATATATTTTTAAGCACTCAAAAAATTAAGCTTTTTTTCTTCCCTACCTCAGATTTATTTGTACAAATAGGACAGAGGACACCAGCTCCATGCAGAAGACAGCCCAGGCGTCACATCAGTTCTTCTGTCCTCACACAGGCAGGCAGAGGACTCTACCTCAGAGACAGGGTTTTGAACTGGAGCTGGGAAGTGAGGCAAAAGACCAAGCCACAGCTTGGGTCCTGGTTTGAGCCTTTGGCCACAAGAGCCTGAGACCTTTGGTGATGAGGGCACACTTCCTGAGCCTCAGGTAGGCAATACAAAGAAGTTGATTGGGCTTCAAGCTGATCCCCTTTGGGGTATTGGGCTTGATTTTCTTTGGCTTTGTGAAGACCTTGATACCCTCGACACATGAACTCATAGCCTTGGTATTGTTGGCCTGCATTTTCTTCAGGTCTTGATTAATGTGCCTCTTGGAAAACTACATGTTTCTCAGAAATTTGGGGTCCACCCACTTAAGAAATTCATATCTTTGTGACTGAGTTTTCTTAATACAATCTCTGTACCATTTTGGGGACTGGTTTTATGTGGTATGGTTCTTGAACTTGGCCATGAATACATCATAACCCACCTGATTCAAGTATTCTTTAACAGCTTGATCATAATATTGATTTTATCTAAAAAAAACTGTATTATATTTGTTATTTCTAACATTTATAGTTGGTTTCCTAGGGGTTCTATGGAGACTAACCTTTTACAAATGACAAGAATCCTGTTAATATGTCATTTATATCTTCATAAAGTTGCTGAAATTATCACAAAGCTCTTCAATATTGAAATCGTTTTTTAAAATATTAAATTAACAAGGAGATGGGGGAATAATGTTATGTTACTTTAATTTAACTGATATTTTTACTTTATTTCCATTGTAAAAGAAGTGAGTGTTTCCGCTTCTTGTTCCATTACTAACTAAGCCAGAAGCAAAAAAATGATGCTGTTTCCTCAGCCTCATCAGATAGCCTCACACACTTTGAGTTAATATGCCTACAATTAGCTTCACATCATATTATTTTTAGTAACTCTTAGAAGATCTCCCAAACACCCAGATTATTGTTTTATCATTATGATTATAGTTTTCCACTATAAGTTAAAATACAGAAGATATGTTAATGGGTATAAAGCATGCAGTACTTCTACTGCATACCAGATCAGAAATCCACTATTTATCACAGACAGCAAAGTCTATGACAAGTTACAGGCTACTATGATGCAAGAACTCTGAGGCTATAAAGATGCATATTTCTTCTACTTAAATGCATTATTTTCCACTTATGAATACAAAACAAGACAAAACCTAAAGTGCATTTAGCTACTCTTTTAGAGATTGTCATGGCATAGAAAATTTATATTCCAGACTTATTTTTGACCTTGATCATTTGAGTTTTATTTCTTCTAAATTTTATTATGAATAAAGTCACAATACCAAAGAAAATAATCCCCAGAAATAATCAAAATTGGATAAGATTTAATAACACAAAAATTAATAAGACCATAGTGATATTTGGAAGTAACCATTCAGTAAGATAAGGATAATACATTAATAGACAAAATAGCCTTAAGATTTGTGCACTGGGAATTCTACATTAAAACATGCATGAGGAGTTGCAAAGCCATCTCCCTAAAAAAATTTACTGTATGATTCAGTTCTAGTATTTTGTTCTTAAATATGAAAATTCATTAAAATGTCTTAATAAACAAGCCCTTCAATTTTTAGAACAGATGTTTACATGCATGCTTCGCTACATTGTGAGTAATATGACAAATGCAATTATCTTTCAAAATGTTGAAATGTTTGCTATGCCAAAATATAAGCATACAATAAGGATTTCCTGAATTTACAAATTGTTTTCTCATCTGCATATGATCATGTATATTTTTTCACATCACCTAGTGTGTTCTGTGCCTCTTATAAAATAAGCATGTTAAAAGACACTCCCACCAGCACCATGAGAGTTTATAGATGTGATGGCAACATCAGGAAGTTATCCTATAGGGTCTAGAAAGAGGAGAAACCCTCCATTCCAGGAATTGCCCACCCCTTCCCAAAAACTCAGGAATAATCCAACCCTCATTCACAATATAATCAAGAAATAACCATAAAAATGGGCAACCAGCAGCCCTCAGGGAGGCTATGTCTATGGAGTAGCCATTTTTTTTATTCCTTTACTATCCTAATAAACTTGTTTTCACTTTACTCTATAGACTCGCCATGAATTCTTTCTTGTGGGAGATCCAAGAAGCCTCTTTTGGGATCTGGATTGGAAACCCTTTCTAATAACAATATTAGACTAGAACCATGATAGTACCACACTGTCTTGATTACTGTAGCTTTACAGTAGCTTTTAAAATCTGGAATTATGACTTTTCTGTTTATTGTCCCTAATTATATTTTCCTTTTTTTAATTTTTTTCAAACTGCATAATGTTAATTGCCCTGTTTTCTAGTTCATTGACTCTTTCTCTACCTGTTCATATCTACTGTTTACTCTCTAGTGATTTTTTATTTCAGTTACTGAACTTTTCAGCTGCAGAATTTCTACTTGGATTATTTTAATAATTTTATTTCTTTATTATTATTCTCCATTTTGTGAGATATTAGCCTCGTACTTTCCTTTAATTTTGTTTAGAAATTGTGTTGTTTAGCTCCTTGAACCCATGTAAAATCGCTGAATTCTAGTCATTGTCTAGTAAATTCATCTTATGGGCTTCCTCATAAATGGTTTATAGTTTATATTGAATGTTTTATTTTTTCCCCTGTGCATGGATCATAGTTTCTTATTTCTTTATATTTTTATTATTTCTTTTTTTTAGTAAAAACAATATTTAAATCAATACAATATGGAATCTCTGGAAATTAGATCCCCCCTCTTTAAGGGTCTGTTGTTACTACCTGTTGTAGTAGTTTAAGTGACACTTCTGAACTAATCCTGTAAAGTCTGTATCTTTGAAATGAGTAACCACTAAAGTCTTCACTTGCTTAGTTTCATGGTCACTTAATCATTGGACACAGATTTCCTCAGATACCTGGGAAAATAAGTCTCCCATTCTCTGCTGTGGGGTCCTGTTTGAGTTTAGAGCATGCCTTCAGCAGTCAGGTACTTGAAAACTCTCCTGAGTCCTCACTTCCTGGTTGCATGAAATCTCAAGGTAAGGTAGAGGTGTGAACCTAAGACCTCTAAAGGTCTTTCAGGAGAATTTGGACAGCCTAAGCATGTGTATGGCCACCTTGATTCCCAGGAATATGTTAAACATTTTCCAAGCCCTTAAGGACATCTCATTCCTTGCTTCTTTTAAGTTTTTGTTTAGTCTATTGTTTCCCCGAGCTGTTACCAATCACCAGAGAAAGCTGCGATGTTAAGACATGTGACAAATGCTTCCTTGTGGAGAAGTTTTAGTACTGAGCAATTTTGATTGAGGTCACAAAAAAGATAAGTCTTTTGAACAGGTTCTTCCAGGAAACCACCAGACAGGTTGAATAACATATTTTCATTGGGAATAAAACTTTGAAGGAGCTCTCAATCTGAAACCACTTTGCAAAAATTGTATCACTGAGAAAATTGGGGCAGTGGGAGAGATCTGATCTAGCCAACCCTCATCTTGCATTTAACCTCCAAGCTGCCCTTAACTATTTCTGGGTATAGGCCAAACTAACTTTGGGAGACACTTAGTTTACAGTTTAAATGATAGTAGCCCTTTGCCAAACCTCAAATGCATTTGTAAAACTGAGAGACCACTAGGCTAGAAGGCTACAGGAGCCTGAATTCTGCTAAGGTGTAGACATAAATAATTGTCAGCCATTATTCCAGAGGTCACAAGATACACAACTTTCTCAATTACTCCTGCAGATAACATCACTATTGTAGAACCAAAGACTGGCCTTTTGAGATATCTTTTAAGGTTTTTTGCAATGTCCGATGACCAGTGGCTCCAACTGGACCCACTGATAATGGCTCCACCTAGACCCACTGACCACTCTTGTGGCCTCACCCAGAAGTGACTCAGCTTGCAAAAGGACCATTTACCATACTCCTATGATTGCATGCCCAACCAATCAGCAGCAAGCACCCATTGCCTAGCCACCCCTACCCCTTCCTTCAAACTACTTTTGTAAAACTATAGCCCCAAATGCTCAGAGAGGTTGATTTGAGTAATAACTTTATCTCCCGCAAGGCGTGGCTGGCCTCACATCAGTTAAACTGTTTCTTTACTGCACTGCCATGGGCTCTGTGAATTGATTTTATTTGTGCAGCAGGCAGGAATAACCCATTGGGTTGTTACAGTTCTAGCCTTCTCTATCTAGTACCTGAAAGCAAGTTGTTATTTTTCAAGGTTGCCAGAGAGCTGGAAAGGGGGCAGGGGAACTGGACTGCAATAGATGAAATTTGTACAAAACTCACTGTTCTTATCAAGGTTCAGCCATCTTTACTGACAAAATTGCTTGCTGCAAGACTTTGGTCATTTTAATTTTCAGAGTTATGAAAAATGAAGTTTTATAATTTTTTCTACATTTTCATTATTTTCATTGAGGAGTGAAATTTGGATGTCTGTCCTCTGTCATTTTGGTTGACATCTGCTTACCGAAGAGTATTTTTAACCAAAAATTTTAGCAGACACAGTGATACTGCTCGGTATGTTTAAGAAAAAGTTGGAATCATGTATATTTACTGGTTAGTATATATAGCCTTATTCAAACTTACATGTGTACATTATACCACTTTGAAGACTTACAGGCAGGTATCATGTGTTCAACTATATCATTTACTTTGTAAATAACAGAAACACAACTGAAAATCATACTTCAAATGTGTTCAAAATTCTACATACTTTCATTGTTTAATAAATGCATTTATGATTCAATAAATTTGAAACATAATTAATCAGTGGTAATATATGTTCACCCAAAAAATATCACAAACATACAAAACTGTTGAGACTTCTCAATGAGGAAGGGTTGAACACTTATTTAATTGAAATCAATCAGTATGAAAAAAATTGTAAGTTGTAAAATTGTAGTACATTTCAAAAAATTGCTCTAAGATTTAATTTTTACATTTCCATGAGAAGAAATAGAGGCTATACCTGAACTGTGCTTCTTTAAAAAAGATGACTTCTATAGAAATTTTAAAAAATATTTTTATTATCTTCAGTACTGTAACTAGAAATCATTGATTCTCTTGATACAGGTCATGAAATGAATGTGTGCATTTCAAAGAAGAAATGGTTAAATAGGAAAAATAAAGAATAATGTTTAATGATATATATGGGTTAGTGGAAAATATATAAAATTATTGTTGTAAAGAGATAATTTAGATGTTTTAAAATATAGTGATGAATTTCATTGAAAAGAGGTATTGTGTCCCCTAAGGTAATGATATAAGAAACAGTAGTAAATTTTTAAAACATTTGTGGCACTTCTCTAGATTCTAACATTGTTCACATTTAGCAAGCTAGAGCTTAGTGAGCAAAAGATAAATAACAAATAATAGTAAAGAATTTATAAATTTAGAATCTGGAATTTAAATAAAAGACAACATCAGTAATAACTATTATAGCAAATGGGTATTTTGGAAATAATGTTTATAATTTGCTGAATTACTAAAATACATGTGGATTTAAAATGTTGACTGTTTATGGCTAATATCATAATATCTTGGAAAACCAGAACCTCTATGGTGTAATTTTAGGACTATCTACCAGGAAAATATTTTTTCTAAGAAATTACTCTCCAAGTTTTTTGTATTCATTCCTTAAATGTAAATCATTTTTACATCATTTTGCTATTCACATAAAGCTAGTGTGAAATTATATTTCCAATTTGAAAAGAGCAGGAAATTGAAAGTTCAGTGTCAATTAACCTCACAGATAAAATTAGTTTATCAATTTCTACAAAAAAATAGTACCCTGAGGAAATGGAGCATCGAAAAAGGCCTCTAGACTAATGGAATTTTTGGGATAATGAAAAATTCCAGAAGTAGATCTGGATTTTGTGTGAAGGGACAATGACTGCCACCTGTGGCTGCATGAATCACCTGTGTGTCTTTGTGGTGTGCCAAAATATAGGAGGATGATGGCAAGAATAGAGGGAAGATGATCTTACAGCTTGATTGGCTCTACTCTTTTGACCTATTTGTTCAAATTACTGTGTTCTGGTTACTTCATTTTTGAAAAATATCTAGGGACTGTGAGATGCTGCGGTGATAACAGATTTAAGCAATATCTGTGGGAGGCCAAACTCTGCCATACATAGTCTCTGAGAACATTCATTATTTCTTTCAACTCCAAAGTCAAATTCTTCTTTGGTAAATTGAGGATGTTTATTTCCGTGATCCCTTTCTAATCTTGGATTCCAGATGAAATCATTATCACTCCCAAAATTCTTGCTTAAAAACACTAGGCTATAAAAGAACTTCAGAGAAAATTTTATCTTAAATTTGACAATAAGGAAAAAATGGGTAAACTATTTTTCCGATGTCACATAAGGGTAAAAGACTGTGTAGAGGAATATTTATTTTAATTCTAATTACTATATACCATGGGTTAAAGTTCTGAGACTTAGTGAAGCTATATGTTAACTTGTAGGCTTTTGGAGAAAAGTAGATTTTGTACAGATGCAAATAATTTTTGTCTGAAGGAAAAAATAAGCCCCCAAATATATGCTTTATGATGCCTTTGGATATTACCTAGCTTTGTAACTAGGCTAGTAGGTTTATCCTACTAATGCCCCAAAACAATCAGTTTTTAAAATGTTTTTGAGTCTATTTTACTATCCTACTGGCTTCTTTATTAATTTCAATAAAATATTTGGCAAATATATTTATATTTATATGAGACATATTTTAAAATACTTTAGAAATATATTTTTTAAATTTCTTTTCAATTATAACGACTATCTTCAGAGAAAAATGATATTCTCTCTCTCTCCCCAAACTTCCTATTATTACAGACATTATTCATAATAGGTAGATATTATATATTAGCTTTAATAAATTAGAATATAATATTGGAGCATATACTCTTCTAAGTGGCCTGTGTTAAGATAATTTTGTTTAAGTAGAGATGACAGAGATTCTGCTTGCAAAAATATGGTAGAGAAGCACCATTAAGGTCAAATATGTTGATATATCACTAACATATTGAGAATGTAGGGAAAACATTTGAATTTTTCTGTTCATGTTTTTTTCCCATTACAGATATATCATTTTTTCTTAGGCACTTCTGAAAATATAAGTCATTATGACCACATCTAGACTTATTACACAGCATATTTAGAAGCGAGACCATGTAGTATGTCCTTTTTTGAAAAGCATCACATTTGATTAAGATCTAAAAGCTAGCTGGGAGCAGTGGCTTCCACCTGTAGTCTACCGTACTTTGGGAGGCTAAGATGGGCAGATTGCTTGGGCCCAGCTACTGTAGACCAGGCTGGGCAACATGGAGAAACAGTGTCTCCACAAAAAACTACAAAAATTAGCGGGGTGTGATGGCATGCACCTGTAGTCCCAGCTACTCGAGAGGCTGAGATGGATCACTTGAGCCCTGGAGATCCAGTGAGCCACAATCATGCTGCACTTCAGCCAGCACAACAGAGTGAGACACTGTAACAACAACAACAACAAGAACAAATCTAAAAGTTGCTTTCGAATTATAGCTCTAGTTTCACAACAGAGAGCTTTTAAGTAATGATTTCTAATAATTATGCTCAGATTATAAATAGTAGAGGTAAACAAATAATTGAGAATATGTATAGTAAATTCTCTTTCCAGAGGTAAATTTTGATATATATTACAAAGTATACAGAAGTTTTAATGTAATATTTTTGTTCATATTAAACTCAAGTATGTAGATATTCTGTTTTGTATTTTAGAGTTAGAAAAAGAGAAAAAAATCTGCCAGTTTCAAAGGATGACTTTTTAATGACTTTTTTGGTAATCATAAAGAATTCATATAGGCCAGTATTAAGCCAGTCTCAGAAAAGAAATCAAAGCCCTGAAAAATTAAATTTTTAGCTTTGATAGAGACATTAGAGGACAATGTGGCAGTGGAAACTGTGACACTTCAGAAGCATGTTGGAAACATCACTTGACTCTAGTCTGAGTAGCGAAAGGGCAATCATGAGAAGTCAGCGGGGTGCAAAGAGAAAAGGTCTAGAACATGGTCATCAGGGGGCTAGTTTCTTAGAGAGCTAGTGGCAGACTAATCCAAATGTTTTGAATTCATTTACATTTTTCTTGATGCCATCTTAATAACATCTACAAAACTTGACAATTCCATTGCTGCAGTAAATTACCGTAAGTATTCAGATACAGCGGGACAGCAAGAAAAACAAAAAATTAAAGTAAAATAAAATCTATGCCAGAATGAATACTATCTAATGGTTGAGGTTGTCCCACCAGCTTTAAGTACCTGAAATGACCTGAAGAAACTCGTGCCCAGTTGTGGTGAGGTTTAACTGATCCAAAAACCTGATGAAATGTTAATTATTAAATATACAATGTCTGTGGTTCCCTTGGTCTTCACTTTAATGTAGAGACCCAATGTTTACTTTTCAGAGCAATCAGAACATCTTATCCACAGTGCTCCTAAACTCCCAGATATATTTTTCCACATTTAGTAACATTAGAAATACATATAACATAGTTACAGTATGACTGTACTGTAAGAGTGAGTGTGTGAATATATTTGTGAATGTGTGTACATATGGGAGAGGAAGTATATGAGTGTGAATTAGGTACATTTGAGAGTATGAGGGTGAATGAGGCTGTGTGTGCATGTATGTATATGTGTGTCTGTCTATGTGTGCCATTGTGATTATGTGTGATTGTATATGCGTGTGTGTTTGCTGGGGTGAGTGGTAACAGGTGATAATTTTATATTTTACTGTCTGTATAACTGAATCACTATTTAAAGTGATTTATTCTGAAAGGCCTCATAAAACAATGTTGTCTTAGAATGTGTGGGGGTGTACCTGTGTGTTTAAATGCATCTCATCTATTAAAAAGACAAGTTAAATAGGTTACAATGGTAGTCGTAATTTTTTTTCCTAATCTAGCAAGGTTAAACTAATGTAATATCTCATAGAGCAGTGTGCACTGAAAAGGGTATTGCAGAGCTGTATGTTGTTCCATTGTGGATCTCATACAGAGGTTTTGTTTCCATCTAAGTAATCAGACATCAAAGCCAAGGGAAACATAAAATAAAAAAGATTTTTAATGTACTGAATCAATATAGGTCTTGTCTCAGGGGAAAATTAGAGTCATTTACTTGCTATGGTGTAAGAGAGAAGAGGCATACAATTTATTTTCTTGCTTTCTCAATTTAGCATACATAAAAAACAAAGTAGCAGATCTTCGAAATATCATCCTTTCTCATAATATTATTCTGCAAAATTATACTAATGGAGTGATCCATGAAGAAAAGTCATAATCAGAAGCACACAGGAAAGAATAGTAGTTTTCATATAGTGCTCACTATCTTTAAAGTATTTCACTTATATTCTTATTTAATTTTCATAGCCACAGTAGGAAATAAGGCCTCTATTGTTATCCTGATTTTTAAATTAGGAGATTGAGTCATTAGTAGGGTATCAAGTAGCTTGCCCAGGGTTTCATACTTCTATTAAGCGGTGGATCCGGAATTCAAATCTAATCAGTCTGGCTTCAAGTAACCACTCTGCTATGACTCCTTATATTATTCTCATTAATTTTATCACTGGAATGGTTTTCTTATTTTCTGTAAAAATTAACTTTAACTTTGTTTAAGCCTGAATTTCTAGTTTTTTATATTTATTTTTTTTTACTTTTACGAGGGTAACATGTATTAACATTGTTTAGAACAAGTGTTCATTAGAACATAATTTATAAGTCCCTGTTCTAACAGTTTGTGAAGTTTTCAGCCTATTTTTATTCCCACTAATTAATACTGTATTGGGAAATGTATTCTGAGATAGAGATTTATATGAAAGAGGTTTATGGTGAGAGAAAAGTGGGATTAAGATGAGAGACCCTGAACTGGAATTGAGTTGCAGCAGAAGGCCTCAGCTCATGGCAGCATATGGTTGGGCTTTGCTGTTTGTCCAGTCTGACAGTCTTGGGTGGTGGTGGCTGTATGTGTGTGTTTAGTTTATTTATATTCCATATGATTAGCTCTATGTTTGGGTTAACATGTCCTATCTTGCTAAATTGTTTCTAGTTGTTCATCTGGCTTGATTGTTATCCCCTTCTATTTTTATGCTTGGTTTGGATATTTTATATGATTCCATATTATCTCTATGATTAGCTTAAGACTTACACCTCTTTCACTGATGTTTAGTGATTGCACTAAGGTTGAAACATACAACTTTAATTAATCACAGTTCACCTTCAAGTAATATTAATACCACTTCATTAGTAGTGTTAAAAAAAACAGTATACACTTAAGTACTCCATCCTGTGTATTGTACTATTGATTTTATATATTTCACTTTTGAATATGCTATTAATCCAAAGTAGTAAAAATCCAACAGTATTTTTTTGATTTAGATAATCATTTATTTCTTAATACAGTTAAAATAGAAATAATCTTTTATAATTTACCTTTACTTTAACCATTTTCATGGATCTTATTTCTTGGTGTTGATGTAGTCTTCTCTATCTTACTACACTATTTTTGCTTTAAAAATTTCTTTTTTCTTCACGAGAGCTCCTCATATTCTATACTTTTTATTGTGTATACTTAAGATTTAAAACTTGATAATTATATATAACTAAAAATTATATATATATATATAACTAAAAATAATCACGACAATCCAGCTTATTATCTTATCCATCACCTCACATAATTACTTTTTTATTTTGGTGAAAACACATAGGATCTACCCTTTAGCAAATTTAAAGCATATAATACAGTACTGTTACCACTAATCATCATGCTGTATATTAGATATATGGAGCTTATTTATCTTTCATAACTGAAATGTAGGTCTGCAGGTAATGAATTCAATGCCTTTCTTTGCTTTAATATTTTTATTCCTTCTTTATTTTTTAAATTAACTTTTGCTGGTTAAACATTTTCTTCTTTTAGACACTAAAGGTGTTACTCCATTGTCTTGTGGAATATCATAAATTCTGATGAGAATTTTATTTTTCTTATCTTTCTTTCTCTGTATGTAACAAGTTCTTTTTCCCCCGCTCAATTTGATTTCAAGGTTTTTTTTAACTTTGGTTTTCATCAGTTTGAATACAATGTCTAGATATGTGTGTATGTGTTTCTTATTTATTTGTTTGTTTGTTCTTAAATATGTGGTGTTGGGTTTTTTTTTTTACTGTTTATAAAAATGTTTCATCCATTATGTTTTCATATGTTTTCTTCTTCCCTCTTCTTGGTGTCTTTTCCTTCTGGGATTTTAATTAGAGTTATGTTATACCATTTGCTATTGGTCCACTCTTCTCGGATGCTTATTTTATTATTGTTCTTTACCTCTATACTTTTGTAATCATTTATTTGACTTTGTAAAATTTCTGTTGACCTATCTTCAAGTTCACTGATGCTCTTTCTGACTTCAACTAGTCCACCGATGAGCTCCTTAAAGGCATTCTTCATCTGTGACTGTCTGTGTTTTCTTTTAACACTGTATTATTTCTATTCTTTTACATAATTTGTCCATTAAACTTACCAGTTGATAAACATATGCTGATCTCTTTTTCCATTAGAGCCTTTAGCATATTTAACATAGCCACTTAATTGTCTCTTCCTTATAGAGTCACATTGGGATAGTCTCTGAATGTTGTTGTTAATCATCTCACCTCTTGACAAAAAGTTGTTTTATTCTGGCCTGTTCGAGTTTGAATTTCTTAATTGATTTCTGAACATAGTATGTAGAATATTAGAAGCTGAGATATATAAAGAATATGCCTTGAAATAGTATCTGTCTTTGCTTGGATGCAAGTGGGGGGGTTAGATGAATGCTGTCAAGAGTTGAGCTAGGTTGGGACTTTATTGTTGTTATGGTTACCTTCAGTGTAGGCTTCACATTCTTCTGGCATTACCTTAGTTAAGGTTGGTATACTGGAGGGTTTTTCTTAATATTTCTTCTCTGCCATCAGCAGCTTCAGACTTTTCCTCTATATCTGCCCTAAAAGAGAGCCTCTCTCCATCCGCTTGCCTGTCGCTCAGCGGTAGACTACTGTGTCTTGCCACCTGCTGTTGCTTGCCTGCTGACTGTCCACGGTGGGGATTTCTCATTCATCTTACCCCTCACCCAGTTGTAGCAGATTGTAATGGGTTAAACACAGGACAGTTTTATGCAAATGGCATTTTTTTTTTTTTGCTAACTCCCCACCACCTCCAGCTGCAGTGTGTTTTCCTCTTACCCAGGAGGATGAACAGATTTGCTGCCTAATATTTTTTTTAGTGAGAATTATTATTCATTAATTATAAAATGTCAAAGAACTTCTGGTTCTTTCCTATGTAAAATAAACATAGGAGAATAAGCCAGTTTTTTTTTTTCTACCTAATGCTCTTTCTATCTTCCTGCTTCTTGGAGTACAATTGCTTATTAGTATTAAATATATTGATGTTAATGTAAGTATGCTGTTTTTTCCTTAACTATCTACTCATAAATTTGACATTCTGCCATACTAGTTATTTAAGGATATGCACAATATTTATTTCATCAGTTCTTGTACTAACCACCAAATTTTCTTTTTTACAGTGAATTTTGTATTCATATTAATCTTCACTTCTTTCTTTTCCTTTTGGGGTCATTTTTAATTTTACTTCTCTCTTTCTTCATTGAACATTTATTTTTGCTTACTATAAGCCAAACTGAGCACTATGTTATTTATCTCTTTGAAAAAGTATTTTACACCCTTGCTTTACTTTCATTCTTCTGCAAATGTTGCTGCATTTTTTATTTTTAAAATTTAAGGATGTGGATCTAAAATTTGCTTTTTATAATTTTGTAAATAATTTTTGCCTGAGCAACATAAACTTCTTTTATCCTTAACACTAAAAATGCTATTCCTCAAAGTTATTTTCTTTCCCTCAATTTTGAATGAATGGTTACTTTTATATCTGCAATGTTATATTGCTTCTAATTTTAGTAAAGTTTTATACTTTTAAAATATTTTTAAATAAAGTCCTTGTGAATTTATCCTGTAGTCTTTACTGAACATTAATTATCCACATTTCAGATCCGTATGTCCTGTCAACTGTACCAATTTTTCTAATTTCTATTTTTGCTTCTGTATCCTGGAGAGATTTATTTCAAAGGCCTTCATCAATGATTACATTTCTTCAGTGTTAATTCTGCCTTTATGGTATCTAATGCAGATTTTATTCTTATTGTTTCACTTTTAAGGCCCACAAATGATTTATTTCACTCTCTTAAACTCCATCTGTATTTTGGTCTGGTAATAAGTTATTTAATCTTTCAAGATTTTGATTCCCAAATTCCATATATTTTTAAATGTGAATAGGATTCAAAGAAGGCTCTATCTAAATATATATATATATTTATATATATAGCTATATTTATATATATAGCTATATTTATATATATATAGCTATTCTATTATATACTTTTCAAAAAGTTTTATGCTCCTATTTCTACACATTTTATACACTTTTTAGGAAGGATCATTTGCTCTCCTTTTATTCACTGTTGAAAGAAGAGAGATCAATCCAACCCTAACATTTACTGGAAAAGTATAGATTTTTCTAAAACACTAGAACTATCCAATTGGTTTTCATTAGCATCATCCTCTAAAATACTAAGGAGGAAGAGTTTGGTAAATGTAAATTTTGAAAGCCAGTTCAATTATGCAGAACTCAGAGCAAGTTGACAGTCACCCAGAGCCCTAGGAAGTCATTTAAATAAATTTCATATTCATATAATGTATTCTCTGTTTGGTGAGAATGCTGTGCCAGAGGCCATGTTTTCTGTGAACCAATTTCAGTTTCGTCCAATTACTATCCCAATTACCCTCTTCCACCTTTTTATAGCATCATATTTTGGAAGAAGCCATGTTTCATCAAGAAGCCCTTGTCCAATAGCATGGTTTTGCTTGGGGGTGCTGATGTGAATAGCCAAAAGCCTCGTAACTTAACTACCATGAGTCACTGTTGTGAAAGAGATACTACTGAGAATCGTTCTATTTGTTCTTTGTGCATCAAATCTGGATGTATGTTTGGTGTTGTTACAGCATTTCCCCTGGTTGTTGCAGCATTTTTAAGGGGAAAATTTGTAAGTAAATGTGTGCTTATCTCCCTAAAGCTGGTTCTTTCTGAACTGCAGTTAACTGACTTTCTAGCAGTGATATAGGTCTTATCATTTTTATAAAATTGTATGGGTCATTAGAATACCAAGGAAGAAATATCTTGCTTAATTTACCATTATAATCATAAACACACTTTCTCAATTTAAAACTTTTACATGTTTTGGTTCTTTAGACACAACTTCTGTCATATTCTATCTTCTTTTCTACCAGCATTTATAGATATTTTGTCCCATTACTCTTTGAATGCTCTTATTTGGCCTCTTTTCCTCATCTTTCTTTCTTGAGTTTCTGCTTTTAGTTCCTACACAGCTTTCTTAGAAACGTATTGTATATAAACAGTATTTCAAATACTAAACATACATACACATTCAAATTATGCTTCTGGACCATATATCTCTTCTGAGCTCTAATGGTTTACAATCAACTGTCTCTGGGAAGTCATAATTTGCATATTCAACAGGCACCTCAAATGCAGTGTTTGAGAAAGTATTTCTCATAATTTGGGGCTCCTTTTTTTGACTTGAATAACATCACTTCAAAAATTTAAACTGGATGCTATGAAGCAATAATTATGTCCTTTCTATGTAGCTAAAAACTAACTAAATAATTTGCCTGTTAATATCTTACATCCTTATTTTTTTAACCATACTATAGCAACTATAGCCTACATGTCCTCCTGCTTCATCATATACATGTAAAGCCTGCACCAATTTTTCCTATGACTTGTAATTTTGATTTTCTAGTGCAAATATATATATATATATGTATATATAAATACAACCATGAAAATGCAAATTTCAAACAGGAATAAATATTCAGAATATTCTATTAATGCAGCCTCATGGATATAATTATTGCTGATTTTTAATAAGGTTTTTCTCCTATTATAATTTTTCTTCATTGAAATCTTATTGTATAATGCTTTTGTAATTTAATTTTCTTGTTTAAAATTATTCAGTAACTATTTTTGAAAATATTAAGACTTGTAAAAAGAGTCAATTTTCTAATAACACATTTTGCATAAGACTGTTACAACTATAAAATTTATTGGCATTATGTGTATGTATTCATCTTTTCCATTGGGCTTTGATGCTCCTGAAATAAGAAATTGTGTATTAGTCATTAATTTTTTTTTCCTCATCCTATATTTTAGTGGCTGATCCATGGAATCTGTTCAAGATATCTTTGCTGAAAGAAAAACTGCATGGTACATCATTATGGTGAATCTTCAAAATTTCCTTAAGCATTATCAAGTTCCTGAACACTTAGCCTTTTTCCTCTGAACTATTATACTATTTATTTTTGAACTTTTCTTTTTTCTTTTAAGTAAAGTAGAGTAATTTATGGGCCTACAGGTATTATTGGTTGAACTAAAGCCATCCAGGATTGAGGGAGTCTGTCTGGGTTTTATTTTGTTTGGTTTTCAATACAGTCTGAGAAGCCAGAAAATAATAATTATTTCATTTGTCAACAATTTGCTAGTCAAATTTAAAAATTTGAAAATTAAAAAAAAATGCTATAATAGCCACTCTATATCATCCATATTAAAGCAGTATATATCATTGATACTATGAACAAACAACCTACTGAATCAGTGAAGAAGAAAGTTTAAGAAGCTAATATTGTGTTTCTGAAAATGTAAAGGCTGTCTTTCTGTAATTATAAATCTATAATATAAATTATATAAATATGATAATCATATTTATTACTTGAATTTATTGTAAATTCTGTTCTCTCTTCTAATAATTTGATTCTGTCCCGAATTAATTTTTTAATTATTATGATTAATTTGAGAAACCTGAAGTAATAGTTCACAAAGAAATATAAATATTTAGAAAGTAGTGCTTCCTTATTTGAAATGTGTTAAGTTCAATTTACTTTTAAATTTATTTAGGAGCATACATAGGTTATGTGCATATTTGTTATGCAAATACCCACTTGATTTATTTTAAAATAGGCAAATTTACAGATTTCATGAAAATAAAGTATTAATGACTTTTTAACAGGATAAGAATAACAAGATTAACTTGGGCAGTATTATTGAGAAGCAGCTGGACCAGAATGGAGAGTGAATAAAATGGTGATTCTTACAAGATAAAAACATGTGACTGTTGGATTTATGTAGAAAGAGGAATTTGCAGTAAAATATGGAGACATGATAATAGTCACAAAGAGTCTCTATTTGCCAATCTAGCATGTAGAATCTAAAGGACCATGTAACATTTTGGCAGAAAATCTTGATTGAATAGAGAAATATGTCTAACTTCCAGGATTGAGACAATTCTAAAAGTACATTTCATATGATCTTGGGTTACTCATGTCAATTAAAAAGAATACAATCTTGATATTATAGAAAAGCTTAACATTGTGCATAGAGTACTTTAAGAGTGCTTTAGAATGTATAATTTGGAAAGGGTAAAGAAATGACTGCATGACATCTGGATACCTTTAACCAAGGAAGGTGGGGACAAAAGGCCAAAAATAAGCATTAACAATAAATTGAAATGATAGACTTTGAGATAGCATAAATAAATTAATTAAGTAGCAGTGATATATTCAGATCAACTTGGGTTAATTTACTTTATTAAAAGTAAGATAACAGAGTGAGACCCTCTCAGACTAGAGTGCAGTGGCCTCATTTTGGCTCACTGCAGCCTCAACCTCCTAGGCTCAAGATTTCTCCAGCCTCAGCCTCAGCATTTAGCTGGAACTACAGGCACAGGCCACCATGCCCAGCTCCTTTTTCTCTTTTTTTTTTAAATGAAGAAGTCTAATTATGTTGTCCAGGCTAGTCTGGAACTCCTAGGCTCAAGTGATCCTTCTGGTTTGGCCTCCCAAATTCTAGGGATTATATGCATGAGCCCCATGCCCAGCCAATTTGTCTTAATTTAGACAAATTTTTGATACCGGACTTTAATTAGGTGAAAATAAGCAAAATGGCACTAAATTTGGCAAATAAAAAAATGATAAGAAAAAATAATTTTCAGGATCTTAATGCTGTTGAAGGGCTGATAACTAACAGTACCTTATGTCCTCAAATGCATGGAAAAATCAAATGCCTTTGTACTCAGCAGTGAGTAAGCCATTCTTTTTTTTTTTTTTAATTTGCACAGAGACAGATGCAAAATCTATGTAAATAGATGCATATAATAAGGCAAATTATGTAAGGCACTGGGAGTATTCAACCAATGGCCCTCAGTGGAACTGTGTTTCATGTAGTCAGGAAGTTAGAAGTTTGATCTTTCCAATTAGCTTTTAACATTAAACAGATTGGCCATTGAAATATTTTATTAAACATGCAAGAAAGTAAATTAAATTTATTTATATATGAATACAATCAAACAAGAAGTTTTTAAACTTCTGCATTATGTTGCAAAATGTGTTTTCTGCTTCCAGAGCTCTGCTCTATGTAAGCTATTGCAGCTTTTCCCAACAAAGCTGGGTATTGGAAGTGTGGTGAAAGTGAGAAATTAACTGAAATTTTCTGGGATTGATGAAACGAGAGTTTATGTATGAATGTTTTTGTGGATCACTGCTTTTTAAAATGAGAAAAATAAACCCAAAAGAGATAGCAATATATTAAAAAGTACCTTTCAAAAATAGGTTTAATTATTCCTATTCATTTGTAATTACATTTACTCAGAATTGAGTGATTATGAGCACATATTTAAATGAAGTGATTCTAATTGGAGCTATGAATTTACAATATTATTACCAAATAATGCTATGTTGAAAGGAAAAATGTTTTAAATTACACATAATAAATATACATCAGTCCTTTGAATATGTTGAGGTGTATGAGCTTTCTCAGGTTTCCTGTAAGAATCTCTTAGCAGATCAGTAAGTGATTATAATTCCTCTTTGTCTTCAAAAAGGCTTTGGATCACTGCCGAAATGTTCTTAATACCTAATATTCAGTAAGAACTATAAATCTTAGTTTACATAGCACTCTTTTAATTATGGAAATAAGTTTATAAGAGTTAATATCACAGTAGATAAAAACCTTGAAAATAATTAATTTTCAGCCGTAAACATGTCTGAATTCACATTAGCTTTTATACTTAGTTCTGATCAATTATCAGTAACTTTACATTTTGAGTTTCTTAAACTATTAATGGAAAATTAAAATAATGTACAAGGATAGAGAATCTAGTACAATTCATGTCTAGGCACTCATTACCAGGTTTCAACACCCTTTAAGTGATGTCTTGTTTTGTTTCATTTATATCCCCAATTTATTCTCTACCAAGACTATACCTGAAGACTTTGAAGCTAATAGCAAATATCATATTACTTAATCTATTCATGTTCCCATGTTCTATAATAGATTTTAATAGCTTGAATTATAACATAAAATAAAGCTTATTTATTGTAATCTGTTACTAAGTCTAAATTCTCTCGCTTAATCCAGCAATTTAATCTTCATCTCTCCTTTTTGTCTTTGTATTTATTTGTTGAAGAAACTGAGTCTTGTTCTCTATAGAATTTCTCGCAGTCTGAATTTTGCTGATTGCACTTCTGTTTCCTAACATATTTTATGCTTATTTTTTGTAAATTGTTGGTAATACTGCAATGCACTATCTAATTTAACTTTAAATATTTTTGCAAGAATACTTCACAGGTGAAATTGTGTACTTTCATGATGAGGAAAATCACATCCATTGTCTCTTTTTATTTTGGTAATTTAATTATTATGAGATTAATTGATTTATTAGCAGTTTGAAATTGATGATATTAAAATCTTGTTATTGTTTTCTGATTTAATAGTTGGATTTTCTATATTAAAAAGTTCCTCATTATGTACAATTTGATTATCTTGTGAAAAATGAAAGGTTAAATACTTAATATTTGTCTATAATGGTTAGTTTTCAGAATGAATTGATATCCTAGAATCCTCCAAAATTGATCAAAGTATTTTCATTTCTTAACATAATTATAGATTCATTGATTTTAATGTATTTGATGTGATTCAATATTTTTTGGCTGTGTTCTTACTGATGCTTAATTTATCTCATTGATCATTAGGAATCACTTCAAGTTGTTGCCTGTGTCCTCTTGACAAAATACAAGTAGTGATAGGGTTTTTTCATTATAAAATTAGAAGTCTACCAGGCTCATCTTGAACACACCTTGCCCCAACACATCTCTTAATAGTATTGGTTGCATTGAGGAGGAAATGGCAATGAGAAACCTAAATCTGGATGCTAGGGTTGCTTGTTTCTACTGAATTAATCATCATTTAAAATTGTAAAGGATAGAATTAGGAAATATAGTCTTTACATTTTCAATTAACTTTAGGTCTTAAGAGTTTTTATGCACATTTTCTTTGCTCCAAACAATCACTAATTTGTTTAGCCCATTAACAGAAGTCTGGAGAAACCCAGGTTTGACTGCTGCTGTTAGACGGAAGAGAGAACTCCCCAGAATCGACCTTGTGATCATATTTTTGATTTTCTAATTTGGGGATTTTGGTTTTGATTTTCTAATTTTTTCAGTGTTTTGAAAACACCAAAAGTTTATTTTCTTTCTTGCCTTTCCTTCCACAACTTAGTGAAATCATATGTGTTTTTTGCCAGCTGTGATTTGCCCAATAGTGCTGATTGTGAGAATAGTGAAAATATATTTTCATCTAGTTTTGCTATAGATATTGTCTTTTAGATTTCTGTTTTGCTAGAATAGTCGCTCCGATGTTTTTTAGGGAGGGAATTTTGAAGTATAAAACCTATGTCTCTGCTGTTTTCTTCATCCCTAAACTTTATGTTTGTTTGTTTTGTTTTGTTTTTTATGTTACCCAGGCTGGTCTTGAACTCCTGGCCTCAGCAACCCCTCCTCAACCTCCCAAGTAGCTGGGATTATAAGCATGAGCCATCACAATTGGCTTACTCTTAGATATTCTTAAGGAACATCTAGAAAAGTGAAATTATGAGGGCTTAAACTAGATCATGTCTCCTATTTTTCTTACAATTTCGTGATCAATAGGAATTAAGTGATGAATACAAATGAGAAAATGATTAAAATACTTCTGTATACTGCACGCAATATCAATTAGCTGAGAGTAAAAACAGATTTCAAGTTCTTATTAAGATAAAGCAATCATACTTCACCCTGCCTCTATGCATAAATGTATCTAAAGATCCTCAAAGAAAGAGTGGAGCCACTATCTGAAAATTCTTAATACCAAATTGGAGTAGGTAGATTAGGGTAGAAAACAAATACTTAAACAATAAATAACCCCATGAGTTTCATAGGAATTTTCCCTCTCTGTTATCTTCTGGTCTAGACACAATGGCAGAGCAAATCCTAAAACTGCATATTGAGCACTGACAGAAGCACTTCAAAATACTTTCTGGCTTGAAGTGTGGGATGAGGAGCCACTTTGAGACACAGAGGGTGGAAAGAAACCCTTTATTTTTAATCTTTATGTTATGTGCATGAACCTCATTTCTTCTTTTCTTATTTTATCATAAATGCATATTTAACATTTTCAAAGCTTTTTCAGAGATTATGCTGAAAATAATAATTTATGTCTTTTTTATCCTTCAAGTTATTAATGTGTTACAACATTTTACTAGATTTCTCAAAACTCAAATAATCATACATCCTTGAAATAAATCACAGTTGTTCACAGTTCATAGTATTTTCTTAATGTGGTGCTGGATTCAGTTTACTAATATTAAGTATTTTTGCATAGATATTAATAATGATATTCTGCAGTTTTAATGTTACTATGTTTATCAGGATTAGATATTGATGTTATACTTGCTTAAGAAAAATAAGTACAGAATGTTTTCTTCTTTGTTAATGTTCTATGACAACTTATGATACAGTAAAACTACCTGGAAATTGAACATATGGTAGGAGTTTTCTTAAAAACTTTATAAGCCTGGTGGGTGTTTTTTGGAGGGGAGGGTGTAGCTTTTTAATAGCTCTCTGTATTCTTCTATGTAAAGTTGTTTGTTTAGTCTTTCACAATCTCAAATTCTGTTACCTTCTTTAGCTTTCCTTTTTTATAATCCTTTTCCTTTGGTGGTGATAGGGAGTAGGGAATGCATATTGGTAGATGGCATGCCCATTCTTTTTATTTTGCTCAAACTAACAAATCTCTGAGGTATGAATAAATAACATTTTGGTTCTTATGGTAACTGAAAAATTATTGTCCACCCTCGTCACAGTTGAATGAATGAGCATTTCTTTTTCAATTCACTCTTGTTTTTCTACTGAGTCAGACTGGAGTGTGTGATGGGAGATGTAAATAGCTGCGGTGGCATATGGTCATTTTAAAAAAATATTTGCTGGTTAATGTTTTGTAAGATTACTTTTTCTTATCTTGTTATAAGAGTATAATATATCTTCTTATAATATATCTTCTAATTCCAACGTGGTCCAGGAGCCTCTTTCCCTGCCATGGATCATCAGGCACATGGGTTCTTCCCTTATTTGTCCATTGCACTTCTGGGTAGATTTGTCCTCCTAGGAGCTACTCATCTACTCTCCAGCGTGACTTCTGGGTTCTGCAGGTAAATTAACCACCTATTTCTGTATAGCAAGATAACCTCAGACTTAGAAGTTTACAAAACAAAACATTGTTTCACAGTTCTGTGAGTAGGGAATCCAGGAGCAGCTTAGCTCTGTGGTTGTCTCTCAGTGTTTTCTCATAATGTTGAAGTGAAGCTATCACCCGGGGTGGTAGTCAGCTGAAGACAACTGGGGCTGAAAGATTCACTTCTGTGCTCATTCATGTGGTCGTTTGCTTCGGTTCTTCATATGATGTTAGACTGAAGGACAAAGTTTCTCACTATGCCACATGGGGCTCTCTAGGAGGATGCTCATAGCAAGGCATCTTACTTACCCTAATGTGAGTGACGGGGAGAGAGAGAGGGGAAGAGATCCCAAGATGGAAGCCAATGTCTTTTTATAACCTAGTATTGAGATACCTCAAAATTTCTAGCACGTTTTTTTTTTTTAATAAATGAGCCAATATGTCCACTCCACACTCAAGTGGCTCATTTATAATGAATGCACACCAGGAGATAAGACAACTGGGGCAATCATAGTGGCTACCTTTTCACAGAGGTTGAGGATGTGAGCCTTGAATCACTACCTCTTGGCACTCTTCATGGTAGAGTTCTAGGTTTTTTTTATTGATCATCATGTTATAAAATTAATTTCTTTAGGTTATACTTTCTTCTATTTCTCTTGTTGGTATACTTTATCATTGTTTTTCTATTTTTAACCCTTTTCCCATTTGTCCCAAGAATACTTGCTGGTGGCACTTGCTGGCTGCAGCATTTACCCAGAGATAATTTTGCCACAAAGTATCTCGCTTTTATTATTAAAATGTCAAATGCCAGAAAGTATAGCATTCCTAGGCGTGATGTTAACATCGTTCTCAGTTGCTGGCCAAAGTTTCAAGAGTCTGATTTTTCCAAAATAGATGATTCTGATGGTTCTGATGATTTTGATTTTAGTTCTATTTAGAAATAACTCTAAGGATAGTTTTTATGTTTTATTTTCACATTGAAAATCAGTCAGATTTGCCTCAGCCTCAAAGAGAATGTTTATGTAAAATTAAATCAGCACTGGCAGGTAGCTGCACTTTTTTTTTTTTCTAAATGGGAAAGAGTTAAAAATCTATTTCATTAGCCAGTATGGAAGAAAAGAATTTCTCTAGTTTTAGTTTGCCAAAAGTATTTAGAATATCTCTCACAAATTATTGATACTATTTAAAACTGTCCTTAATTGTAGTACCATGCATGTGCTTGGCAAGTACTCACTGTCAGTACTCGAGTTCCTCCAGCTTTAAGTTTCTCTGATTTCAGTGTTAAAAGTCTGTGATATTATCCACTTTGGAAACCTTGTGAATCAAGAAAGTTATTGGTGACCCACTTTAATATTTAAGTGTCAAACATCTGGCAACTACTTCACAGATTTGTCTGTCAAGACCATTTCCTAGCTGATCTGAGACAGCTGGCTGATTGAAAGTCTGTCCTATATATTATTAACTTCACTCTTTTGGAACCACTTCCCATGACAAACCATGTCCTGTCATTTTCAACCTTCTTTTTGCCATTATGGTTGAAATCTTCTGAATATCTACATGAATATTTCTCTCTGTCAACCTGGAAATATTTTCCATGTGAGACAAGAATCTTGAAATAAAGTTGCTGTGGTGAATATCACAGATCAACTAAATGCAGTTTAATGTATATGGTGTAACAGATTTTAAATGGTAATGGAATAGCATTACATTCAGCACATACAATATAAAAAAAGACAATTTGTTTCATGTTCAAGTATTTTAAGGTACTTTTACATATGTAAGACATTTGTTTTCAGAGTATGATGCTATACTTCAGAAAGAGGTTACTACATTAAACAAATAATGGAAAACAAGGATATGAAAGGTCAATGATTCCTAAAAATGATATTGCAAGACACAGCCTTTGTGTTGTAGAATCTAAGTAGACCCCAACACTTCTTAATTGGTGTTCAGGAAGGGCTTTATAATATTCTTTTACCTCTCTTATTGCAGTAATTATGCTATGGTTTGAATGTTCATTTTGCCTCCAAAATACATATGGAAAGTTAATCACCAATGCAACAATATCAGCAGATGAGGCCTTGGGAAGTGATTAGGGCATGAGAGCGCTAAGCTCAAGAAAAGGATTAGTGCCTAATAAAGGACCATAGGTGCCAAATTAATCTTTCTCTCCTCTCTTCCATTTGAGGACATGACATTTATCCCCTCCAGAAAATGCAACAAGGTGCATCTTGGAAGCAGAGTGCAGCACTCACCGGACAGGAAATCTGCTGATGCCTTCATCTTGGACTTCCCAGTCTCCAGAACTATAAAGAATGCATTTCTTTTCTTATAAATTACCCAGTCTATGATATTCCATTATAGTAGCACAAACGGACTAGGACAACACATAAATAACTCAAGCCAATTTCTCACTTACATTTGTTAAAATAGTAATGTACAAATCCCGGAAACAGTCAACAACAAAATCCCATTTCACAACTCCCTCATCCCTAATACACAATTTCTAACCTATTCTGAAATTGAGAAGTCTTATACTTTGCAAATGGCATGGCAACTTTATGTCCATTTAAAATTGTCTAAATATTTAGTACATTTCTAGAGTCTAGAGCACACAGCTCAGGGCCCTGGTAACATGCAGGCAATCAGACTATAAATTTATTTCTCTTCTTGAACATCCTGCCCTGTTCATCTTCAGTAATCAAATGGGCTTCAATTTGTTCTTTACTATGCTTTCACCTCTTCATGCTCACTTCCAAGTCAACTCTACTCCTTCTCTATTTTGCCCAATACACTTTCTAGTTACATAATCAGATGACTCTAGAAAAGCTGCCCAAGGCTGACCATTCTCTATGTGAATTTTCCAACTACATTGAAAGACCAAACTCAGTATCCCCAACATTGTCCTAACTTAAAGGTATACTTGTAGTGGCACCATATAAACCAGGCAAACTATTTAAAAATGTATCTGGAAGTATTTGGCATTTCCTGGTTATAATTTAAAGGATGTAATTTTGGCATAGGATTTCTGAATAATTGTTATTAGACAGAGTTATTTGTATTTTCCACTACCATTTTTAGAAAGGGAATTTCACTTTGGATAGCGGGTTAGTGTGTGTGTGTGTATGTGCCCATGTGCAGGTGAGGAGGGAACAAACTACTTGATTCTTCCATAAGTTATTAAGTGACCCTTTTTTGGGCCTGATTGTCAAATGAAATTTTCTGCACAATACTTGGAAAGCATTTGCAGGTTTCTGCGTGAGGTGAAGAAAAAAGAACATGAAAATATTGTGGATTCATGAGCTACAAGAAGAATCATGAAACTTTTGAAAAGTTATCAGCCTCATAGCTTGAGTGTGAATGAATTAGTTTTCACAGAAATCAATGAATGGGCTGGATTTTACAGCCAAGACATAATGGAGACAAAAAAGAGCAGGCAGTGATTTACAGAAATTTTGAATCCTTCTTCTGGAGTGCTATACATTCATAAGATTATGATTTGGATTAAGTTTAATCTGATACCTAAATGTCCAAGCGCATAGTTTACATTTGATTTATACAGTAGTACAGTAATGTTAACAAAACTGAATTTTTGTAACAAATTATATATACTTGAGATAGAGAAAAAACTGTTGACTCCTTTTATCATTAAGTTAAAAAAATAATATGGCAGCATATCACTTGTATGAACTTCTGAATGAAGACAATATCTTGATGTACAAATTCTGTTTTTCAACCAAAGGATCATACTTAAGCATATTTAAATATGATGCTCAGTAAAAAGATCTTACAACATTATAATTTGTAATGTTTGAAATGGACATGAAAGTAGAATGCAACATTTGTATCTACATGAGTAACTATCATTTATCTATCTAAAATTTATTAAACATTTGCGAATGAGAGCATGACATTGGAGTCACACTGCTTTGGGTTTGAAATCTGGATCCCATATGTGTCAGGTAAAAACCTTGAAAAAGTTACTTAACCTGTCTGTTTATCAGTTTCTTTATAAGACACAGATCATAATAATATGTACATCAGAGGATCATGGTGATTATAAAATAAATTAACATAAATGAGTTAATAAGGCCTAGGATTTTAGAAGTGTAGTATAAACAAAGTACCTAGTATGCTACTTACAGTGATTATCATTATCTCTTATAACTTTAAGTTAAATTGGCCTTCTTGGTAAATTTCAAACACAATTATATCTGGGTCCACATCAGGAAATTTGAACATACAGTTCATCTGTTTGGAGCTCACTTCCCTCATTTGTTTTCATAGCTTCCTACCTCAGTGCATTCAGGTTTCTTTTTCAAAACATATAAACAGAGATGCCTTGTTAAACTACCCAATCTAAAATTGTCTTTTTTTATTTATTATTTTTCTTCATCTATGTCACCATTTGCTATTGTTACTAAATTTATTTCTAGTTTACCGCCCACTAACATAGAAGTTCCATGAAAAGAGAGACGTGCCTAGTTGCCCCCATTATCTCAGTGTAAACATTTTTTTTCCCTGAAACTGAAACAATAATCTTCCTTTTGTGGAGATGCTGTTAAAGGGTACATAGGGTAATTCATACTAATAGGTTCTCTCATTCTTGCAAACTGTTGTGGAATAATCAATTTAAGGGCAACAACTGAGCTCTTCATAAATTGAGGAAAATTGCCATGCATGAAGGTGTTTTTCCTAACCCCCACCTCTGATTCTACATATTCTTTAAACATATCTCTCAAAAATTTGGAGTTAACATTGTAAATAATATTTATGTATTTCTTTGGGTTTTGAAATTTACTTATGGATCATGTAGACCACTTAAAAATATTTTTAAAAATCTTTAAAGCTAAAGTTGAACATTTGTGACAACTAGGAATATTTGGATACTTTGTGTTTCTCTCCCTCTTTTTATGTCTCTCTATCTCTCTCTGATAAAAGTATGTTTGTGGATAATTTATTTTAAAACTAGACTTTTGGTTATGCCAGATTAATAGTTCCAGAGATCTCTTATAAAGCACATTTCTTGTAGTTAACAATATGGTGTTGTGCACTTCAAAATTTGTTAAATAATAGATTTCATGTTAAGTATTCTAAAAACACACACACATACACACTCGGACACAAGGCAACTTTGGTTGATATTGAACACATCCATTACCTTGATTGTGGTGATGATGGTATTACGGGTGTTTGCATATGTCCAAACTCATTAAATTGTACACATTGAACATGTGAAGTTCTTTGCATATCAACTATATCTCAATAAAGCTGTTAAAATTAAAGCAAATTCAGTATTATTATTTAAACTTATAACTTTCATAGGCACAGAGTAAACAGATAAAGAAATATCTACCAAACAAACGGAAAAAAGCAGGAGTTTCTGTTCTAATTTCAGGCAAAACAGACTTCAAAGTGACAAAGATAAAAAAGACAAAGAAGAGCATTATGTAATGGTAAAAGGTTCAATTCAACAAGAAGACCTAAGTTTTCCAGATTTATATGTACTCAACACAAGAGCACCAAGATTCATAAAGCAGGTTCTTAGAGACCTATGAAGAGACATAGATAACCACACAGTAATACTGGGGGTCATCAATGCTGCACTGACAGTATTAGACAGATCATCCATGCAGAAAACTAACAAAGATATTTGGGACCTGAACTAGACACTTGGCCAAAGGAGCTCAATAGAAATCTCCAGAACTTTCCATACAAAAACAGCAGAATAGATGTTCTTTTCATCTGCACATAGCATATCATCTAAAATCAACCATACATTCAGCAATAAAACAATACTCAGCAAATTTTAAAAAGCCAAAATCATACCAACCACATACTTTCACCATAGATCAATAAAAACAGAAACCAACACAAAAGCTCAAAACCATACAATTACACGGAAATTAAACCTGTTTCTGAATGACTTTTAGAAAAATAATGAAACTAACGCAGAAATCGAGAAATTCTTTAAAACTAATGAGAGCAAAGATACAAGATAGCACAATCTCTGGGACACAGCTAAAGCAGTGTTAAGAGGTTTTATCAAAAAATTAGAAAGATTTCACATTAACAACTTAACATCATTCCTAGAGGAATTAGAAAAACAAGGACAAACCAATTCCAATGCTAGGAGAAGACAAGAAATAACCAAAATTAGAGCCGAAATGAAAGAATTTGAGATACAACAAAACATACCAAAGATCAAGGAATCCAGGAATTTTTTTAAAGAATAAATAAGATTGATTTACTGCTAGATAGACTAATATAGAAAAAGAGAGAAGATCCAAATAAACACAATCATAAATGACAAAGGGGATATTACCACTGACCCTACAGAAATATAAAGTCTCTCAGAGACTACTACAAAAATCTCTATGTACGCACATTAGAAAACTTACAACATATAACCTCCCAAGATGGAAGCAAGAAGAAACTAAATTCTTGAAAAGAAGAATAATGTGTTCCATAATTGAGTCAGTAATAAGAAGCCTACTACCCAGAAAAAAAAAAAAAAAAACAAAAAAACAGAATAAGATGGGTACACAGCTGAATTCTACCGGAGGTATAAAGAAAAGCTGGTACCACACCTACTGAAATTATTCCAAAAACAGACTGAAAAGGAGGTACTCCTCTCTAAATGATTCTCAAAGGTGAGCATCATTCTGATACCAAAACCTAGCAGAAGCACACACACAAAAAGAAAACTTTAGGCCAATATCCTTGATGAACATACATGCGAAAATCCTCAATAAAATACTAGCAAACTGAATCCAGCGTCACATCAAAAAGCTAATCCAACGCAATCAAATAGACTTTATCCCTAGGATGCAAGGTTGGTTCAACATATGCAAATAAAAAAAGTGATTTATTTACATAAATAGAACTACAATCAAATACCACATGATTATCTCCATAGATGCAGAAGAGACTTTCAATAAAATTTGCCATACTTTCATGTTAAAAATCTTCAAAAAAGTAGGCATTGAAGGAACATACCTCAAAATAATTAAAGCCATCTATGAGAAATCTACAACCATCATACTGAATGGGCAAAAGCTAAAAGCTTTCCTCTTGAGAACTGGAACAAGACAAGGATGTCCACTCACCACTTCTATTCAACATAGTACTAGAAGCTCTAGCCAGAGCTATCAGGTAAGAGAAAGAAATAAAAGGCATCCAAATAGGAAGAGAGGAAGGCAAACTATCTCTGTTTGCAGGTAATATAATTTTATACCTAGAAAACCTCATAGTCTCCTCCAAAGAACTCCTAGATCTGATACACAATTTCAGCAAATTCTCAGGATACAAAATCAATGTGCAAAAATCAGTAGCATTTCTATACACCAACAATGTCCAAGCTGAGAGCCCAATCAAGAATGCCATCCCATTAAAATAGCCACAAAAAGAATAAAACACCTAGAAATATAGCTAACCATGAAGGTGAAAGATCTATACAATAATAATTACAAAATACTGCTGAAAGAAAACAGAGATGATGTAAACAAATGTAAAAATATTCCATGCTCATGGAAAGAAAGAATCAATATTGTTAAAAGGTCCATACTGTCCAAAATAATTTACAGATTTAATGCTATTTCTGTCAAACTACCAATGACATTTTTCACAGAAATAGAAAAATATATTTTAAAATTCACATGAAACCAAAAAAGAGCCCAGATAGCCAAGGCAATCAAAGGCAAAAAAACAAAGCTTCAGGTATCATATTTCCCAACTTTAAACTGTACTACAAGGCTACAGTAATCAAAATAGCATAGTACTGTTACAAAAACAGACACCAAGACCAGTGGAACAGAATAGAGAGCCAAGACATAATGCCACACACCTACCACACCATCTGTTTTTATTTTCATCTTTTAATTTTTATTTTTATTTCAATAATTTTGTGGATACAGATGGTTTTTGGTTACATGGATAAGTTATTTCATGGTGATTTCTGGGATTTTACTGCACCCGTCACCAGAGCAGTGCACACTGTAACCAATGTGTACTCTTTTATTTCTTGTCTCCTTCCCAACCTTCTCCATTGAGTCCCTAAAGAACATTATATCATCATGCCTTTGCATCCTCATACCTTAGCTGCACTTATAAGTGAGAACATAAATTTTTTTTTAATTTTTTTATTCCTGAGTTACTTCACTTAGAATAAGGGTCTCCAACTCCATCCAGGTTGCTGCGAATGCCATTATTTTGTTCCCTTTTATGTCTGAGTAGTATCCCATGGTGTATTTGTATGTATGCATACATCACACACACACACACACACACACACACACACATATATATATAATTTTCTTTATTCACTCATTGGTTGATGCACATTTAGGCTGGTTCCACATTTTTGCAATTGTGAATTGTGCTGTTATAAACATGCATGTGCAAGTGTCTTTTTCATATAATGACATCTTTTCCTTTGGGTAGACACCCAGGAGCTGGATTGCTGGATTCTATATTTTGTTCCTTAAAAACCTCCTTACTGTTTTCCATGGTGTTTGTCCTAATTTACATTCCCACGAGCAGGCTAAGAGTGTTCTGTTTTCACCACATCCACACCAGCATCCATTGTGTTGTGGCTTTTACATTATGGCCGTTCTTTCAGGTGTAAAGTAGTATCTCATTGTGGTTTTAATTTTCATTTCCCTGATAATTAGTCATGTTGAATCTTTTCTCATGTTGGCTGTTTGTATATCTTCTTTTGAGAATTTTTCTATTCATGTCCTTTGTCCACTTTTTGATGGGATTATTTGTTTTATTATTGCAGATTTGTTTGAGTTCCTTGTCTATTCTGGATATTAGTCCTTTGTCAGATGCGTACCTTGTGGATATTTTCTCCTGCTCTGTGGGTTGTCTGTTTACTCTGCTAATTATTTCTTTTGCTGTGCAGAAGCTTTTTAGTTTAATTAGCTCTCATTTATTTATTTTTGTTTATGTTTTTGAGGTCTTAGTAATGAATTCTTTGTGTAAGCCAATGTCTAGAAGAGTTTTTCTGAAATTGTCTTCCAGAATGTTTATTGTTTCAGGTCTTAGATTTAAGTCTTTGATCAATTGTATGTTGATTTTCATATAAAGTGAGAGCTGGGTGTCCAGTTTTATTCTTCTACTTGTGGTTTGCCAGTTTCCCCAGGACTATTTGTTAAATAGAATGTCCTTTTCCCAATTTATGTTTTTGTATGCTTTGTCAAGGATCAGTTGACTATAAGTATTTGGCTTTATTTCTGGGTTCTCTATTCTGTTTCATTGGTGTACATGCCTATTTTTATACAAGTTTCATATTGCATTGGTAACAATACCTTTGTAGTATAATTTAAAGTCAGGTAATGTGATACTTCCAGTTTTGGTTTTTGTTTTTGTTGTTGTCATTGTTTTGATTGTTATTTTTGCTTAGTATTGTTTTGGCTATGTGGGCTCTCTTTTGGTTACATATGAATTTCAGGATTGTTTTTGCTAGTTCTGTGAAGTATGATGATGGTATTTTGATGATCCTTGACAGTGGACCAAAGCAAGCAATAAATGATGCTGGGATAATTGACTGGCCATATGCAGAAGATTGAAACTGAACTCTTTCCTGATATAGTATACAAAAATAAACTCAAGATGGATTAAAGGCTAAAGTATAATACCTAAAACTATAAAAACCCTGGAAGATAACCTAGGAAATACCATTCTGGACACAGGCCTTGACGAAGATTTCATGAAAAAAATGCCAAATGCAATTGCAACAAAAGAAAATTGACAAACTAAAGAGCTTCAGCACAGCAAAAGGAATTACTGGCAGAGCAAACAGACAATGTAGAGAATGGAAGAAAATACTTGCAAACTACCGATCTAACAAAGTTTAATATCCATCATCTATAAGGAACTTAAACAAATTTACAAGGAAACAAACAGCCCCATTAAAAAGTGGGCAAAAAACATGAACGGATGCTTTTCAAAAGAAGACATACACAAGGCCAATGAGCATATGAAAAAAGGCTCAACATCACTAATCATTAGAGAAGTGTACATCAAAACCACAATGAGATACATCTCACACCAGTCAGAATCACTTTAGTGAAAAAGTAACAAAATAACAGATGCCTGGCTATGTTGTGCAGAAAAGGGAACACTTGCAGACTGCTGGGAATAATGTAAATTAGTTCAGCCATTGTGGAAAGCAGTGTGGCAATTTTTCAAAGAACTTGAAATATAACTACCATTCAACCCAGCAATCTTATTATTGTGTATACACCCAAAGGAATCTAAATTGTTCTGCTATAAGGACACATGTACCCTTATGTTCACTGCAGCACTATTCACAATGGCAAAGACATAGAGTCAATCTAAATGCCCATCGATGGTAGACTAGGCAAAGAAAGTGTAGTATATATACACCATGGAATACCACACAGCCATAAAAAGGAATGATACCATGTCTTTGCAGCAACAGGGATAGAGCTGGAGGCCATTATCCTAACCAAACTAACATAGTAACAGAAAACCAAATACCACATGTTCTCATTTATAAGTAGAAGCTAAAGATTGAGTACATAGAGAAAAAATAAGAGAACGACAGACACTGGAGCCTCCCAGAGGGTGAAGGGTGAGAGAAGAGAGATTTAAAAAACTACCTATTGGGTAAATGATGATGAAATATTCTATACACCAAAACCCCATGACAATTTACCTATATAACAAACATGCACATGTACCCCTGAACCTAAAATAAAGTTTTTTTAAAGAATATATAATTTTCTTTGAAATGAATTATAATGAGATTTCACATTGTAATTGCCCAGGGTCATTGGGATTTTTATTATATTTCAGTTGATATTTTTGTAGTATATCTTAGCATACAAATAATTTTACAAACTATTTGTCTAATAAAAAAATAGCTAAGGCAATTTCATAATATATGAAAATATAAATGTAATATGCAATCTTCATTTATTGTGTTAGCAAAACAGTACTTTTTCTTTGACCAAATCTCTTTAACCTTATGATGTTATTCTCATTATAGAGTACAACATTAAATATTCGTGTAGACCAAATTTTAAAAGTTGATATATGCTATGAAGACACTTCATGTACTTTTTAGTGTTGTATGTACATTTTCAGACTCAAAACTATTTAAACAACCATTTTCAGTAGTAATCAAATGTTATTTCTCTACTTTTCAAGTAACAAGTAGAAGGGATCTAAGGAACTAAAATATTTTAATTGACCTCTACTTGGTATTTCTCATTTAGGACTTTGATATTAATAACTTTGTTTACCCAAATTCTAATTTGTCTACACTATTTCCATCGTCTAAATCATATCCAGAGTTATCTTTCTGTGACATACTATAATGTCATAATTGCCCAATTTGAAATTATTTACATAAACTCCATGCATTCATGCATCACTTGTGTAAGCATGTGCTGTGTGAAATGAATTCCAAAGCATATTAATAGGAGCTAATGAAAATCAGTTCTGTGGTTGAAGTCATGTGTGATAGTAAGCTTCCCCATTCTTCTCTGTCTTGCTCTGATATACCTCCCCACCACCACCACCATTAATACATACACATTGTTGGACACGTAATCTGGATTAACCATTTATATCTCTCCCTGAGATTTCATGACTTGGAACTTGGAACATGTACCTGCTAGAAAAAAGTGATAAAGTGATATTGGGATAGGCAAAAGCCAAAGGCCAATGTAAAGAGATCTATCCATATATTCCACATATCCATAGGAAAACAGGGAGAGAGAGATTAAGAAGGATTTTCATAGTGCTAATCTCAGTTAGTTCTAGGGACAGACATTCTGATTTCTGCAACTCTTTAATTTTGTAGCTGTTTTTTTCTTCTTTCAACATGTATGAAGTAAAGTAATTCACTTTTGTTTGGCCTGTTTGGCCCATTATTTTTTTAACTTACAGCCTCCGCACAATTCATACCAATTCTATAATCAAACACGTTTGCAAAAGAAAATTCAAGGACTTTATAATTATCAGTAACCACAAAAAAGTAAGAACGTGCAGTGGTTCACAACTGTATATGATTACAAAACATTCTCTATGTCTATTACCAGCAAAAACCGTTTTGAAAACAAATTTAACCATAGAAATATTTTAGAATTGCAAAAAAATCTTTTTTATATCTGACCTCATGCTAATTTTTGTGTTCTATTTTGATTGCATGAACTTCTCTTCTGGTATAAACATTTTAGGAAATCATTATTAACAAATATGCCTAATACCTTCACACACCCGTTCCATTACACATGCTTTCCCTCTATTTAATAAATGATCTATTCAAATATACATATTTGAATAGTCTCTGATAGGCAAATTTCCACTCACATTTTAATACACAGTTCAGCTTTTACTAACAATATGCAGCTTAAAAATGCCTACTATTTTCACTTTACATTTCTACAATCTATGTCAAACATTGAATTATAATTATGTCTTGGTTTATCTTTTTCTTGCACCTAGGACATGAGCTTTTCAATTTCAGGAGCAGCATTTTATTTATTCTGTGTTCTTGCTACTATATATAATAATTATATGATAGTAATAACATGTTAACTTGAATTAAAATTAATATTTTCAAATAATAACAGATGGGTAGAGGTGTATAATAGTCTATATTTTATCTCAGTCCATCTCTCAAGCAATTCATAAATGTTTTTCTTTCTCTATTTCTTTGGGAATGTAACTTTACACAGACTGGAAAGGCAGAAATTGAAATAAGAGTTTGAACAAAAGAATGTGAATGGTGATTAGCAATTCTTTGTTCCACTGAGCTAAAATCTTAGGCCACATTTGCACTTCATTGGCACTTTCAGATCAGTAGCCCCCCATTCTTCGTGATTTTCCCATTTGACTCTTAAACCATCCATTTTTATCACCCTTTATTGCCCTTCATTTTAGTCCTATGAAGAACCAAGTCACTCCAGATAGTCTAAATGATTTTAACTATTGAATTACTGTCATTCTCTTTAATATCAGTACTACTTTTATGGTAATTCTGGGTGATTTCAATGTCCACATAGATGATTCTTTCCATAACCTAGCCTCTCTGCTTTAATTTCTACTTTTCCAATCACCTTTTTCTCTACCACTTCCTCAGCTATTACCTTTGTGGATGTAAATTTATTTTTCTATAATTCCAACAATCCAGTCTCACACAAACCTGTGTTCATTGTGCTACCCTAATATCATAACTATTTTTGTATCAAAATAAATTTCCATGTTTATTACAGTTGGTTTCCAAATTATGATAGCTCCATTTATGATTATTTTTACTTTATGATAGTTCAAAAATGATACCAATTCAGTAGAAACTGCACTCAAATTTTGATTTTTTTTCTAGGGTCAAAGATATGTGGTACAATACTCACTTCTGATGCTGGGCAGTGGCACTCAGCCACAGTTCATTATAATTTATAAATTTCATTTATAATACCAGTTGTCTTGAGACATGTAGGCACATTAGCTTGAACAGACAATAAATCATAAGTTGAAATTGAGCACTCTTTAATCTTGAAATCTGAAATTTAAAAATCTTCCGGGTTACCTGTGTGTATGAGTGTGTGTGTGTGTGTACTTAATACACTGGTTTTGCTTGAACATTTTTCCAATCTCTAGGGCTCCTGAATCAGCCCTTTTTGGGATCAGGAAAGTTCTTTGTACCAATACAGTGGATTGTTGTTTCTAAGATATTTGCATTGTTTTTCAGAATCTATATTTTGTAACCTGGATTTTTATAATATGCCTTCTATGACTTTACCTTTTGTTATTTTCTGTCTCTTCATTTAATTTATTCTCATGTTGGTGATCTTTCAAGTTTATTTTCTTTACTAACACTTATTCTGAAATACTGTGCTCATGAGTATTTTCCAATCACGTTAGCTTTGTCTTTTTTTTCACTGATCTTCACAGTAAACACTAGAAGAAGAAAGTTTAGGGAGTTCTTGTCTAATAGTCTTTTTTTTTCTTCTGTGAAGTAGGAAACAAGATACCTGCTGAGAGTGAAGGTAGGCAAGAATGAATAGAAGATGTAAGATTAAAGAAGTGGCTGAGCAAAACACAATAACTCACTAAAACTGAGAACCATATGTTTGTGGATTTTGCCCTCAGGGAACATAAAATGCATAAAATACAGTTGGGGAAAATGAGAAGTACTCAAACCATTACAACCCATACAAGTTACAGTGGTTCATGATTGTGAATAAAGAATACAGACACATTTAAAACAGGGAGAGGGGAGAAAATAATAAGAGTTGGGGACTAGAAAGTTTTTAAAGAATGTTTTCTGTAAAAAAAGAAGGAAAGAAATGTTGCCAGGAAGGGGAGGAGCAGCTGGTAGGGAACCATGAGTCAAGCAAAGATCATCTTCTAAGACTGAGAAATTATACCAAGTTTGTAGGCTGGTGTGACCTATTTATTAAGGAGAAACTGATTGTTCAAGAGGGTAGCAGTAGATAATTCCTAGGAGATTTCTTGAGCAAGTAAGATAGTATTTAGTATGTAAGCAGGCTTGACCTTGAGAACACGTAGAACTTATCTCTATATTGCAAATAATGGTAACTATATAAACTCATAAAGGTAGGTAATACATGTAGTGGTGGATCTCATTCACCTTCCTGGCTAAGACGGTGAAATCTGTCTCTAATAAAAATACAAAAAATTAGCCAGGTGTGGTGTGCACACCTGTAGTCCCAGCTATTCAGGAGGCTGAGGCAGGAGAGTCTCTTGAACCTGGGAGACAGAGGTTTCAGTGAGCTGAGATCACGCCAGTGCACTCCAGCCTGGGCGACAGAGCAAGACTCAGTCTCAAAAATATATACATATATATATTCACCTGATAATTAATTGAATGAGAAGCCAAGTCAATGATAAACTGAGATTGAATTTGGAAGAGGAGACTTTGAGGAGAATGAGTGAATCATAAAATATGGTGTAATTTTTAAAGGCATTAGAGGTACTTTGGAGATTTATGGTTATGGATTTAAAGTTAGTTTAGACCATATTTCTCCACTCATATTTAGTCAATCATTAGGGGTACAGGAAAAGAGTAGGTAGATGATTAGATTTAGATAGGAAAGTATGCAATGGCATAATAATAATGATCCATTGGTAAATTAAGTTGTGTTTGGAGTGTCATGAGGACTTTGATAGGTAACTAGTGAATATTCTCAACAATCCTTACCTAGTGGTATTCATACACTTGTATAATCTCCTGTCCTAGACTGTGAAATGAACCTAGTATATTATTCTAATCAGTAGAATATAAGCAAAGTGATGAGATGACCCTTCTGTAATTAGGTAGTAAAAGTTGTGACTTCAATTTGCTGGCATTCTCTCTATATTGTGTTCTTGGATAGCACTTTTTGTTGAAGCAAACTGCCATGTTGGAGTGTTCTGTGTCACAAAGAACTGAGGGAATCCTCTAGTCAACATATAGTGAGAAATTGAAGCCCTCATTTCCAGCAGTATTTGCAGAACTTAAATGTGCAAATATTTTTTTGAGTGAGTTTGAAGGTGAATCCTTTTTCAGTCAAGCCTTTGGATTATATCACAGCCCCGACTGCCGTCTTGATTGCAGCCTTGTAAGAGACCTTAAGCAGAGGACCCACGTAGATTATGCCTTGTTTTGTTCTCTAATTAAAAGTGTAGATAATAAATGTGGGATGTTTTAAGCCCCTGATTTTGGGAGTAATTTGTTATGTGGCAATAGATAGTTGATCCAAAGGCAAATGAGCAGAATGTGGCACAATTAAGAGTAGGATCACTGGATTGACAGTCCCAAAATGATTGAAAGATGTTTTTGAATTGAAGTAACAAATGAACGCCACTGGAAAAATCAAGAAAGAGTAGAACTAGGGTACCACTTGAAACTGGCTTTATGGAGGAACTGCAGTTATTGAAAATGACAATGCCTAGGTGTGAACCTGGCAGGTAAAATTAAAGGTAAAGTTTCACTCTCTTTTCAAATTATTACCTTTGTCTTAGACTTGTCATTCAGGGAACTGCATGATTGCAGAGCTGATAAGTTATTTTCCAAAAACTAAACAATTTCTATGGTGTAGATGTTTGTAGTGCTTTTAGTAGGACAAAAATTTGTTTCTTGTAGGTTTCCAGCAAATACTCCTGAATGGATGTAAGCTTTTTTGAAGAATTATCATACTACCATTCTTGTCAACTATCTTTAAGCCTCAACAGAAGGTATTTATGTAATTATAATTTTTGTAAACTATTTTATACTAAACAGTTGATTAACTTGATATTTACTTGTAAATTAATTATTTTGATATTTGTTTGAATCAATGAAATCCCAGTCTTTTTTTGATTTTAAGAATAATTTAATACAAAGTATCTTGCCCAGTGTCTGGAAGTGTACATTGATGATATGAGTGGGGCTAACTCTGATTTTGGCACTTACAAAGAAAATTTATGACTAGATATAGTATAATAAATATAATATAGATAAGAACTTCATAAAAAATAAGAAAATTAAGGGAGTCAATAACAAAACATAGTATAGAATTAGAAATAATGATACATGTCATTAACTAATTTAATAAAAAAATTCTGTTAGATTTTCTATGAGATTTGATCAGATCAAATACCTTTGTTCTTCTATTGGCAATTTTCCATATTACTCTGCTGCTGGATTAAAAAAAGGACTAAAAATATTGTTGTAGCATTGTGCCCCTCAAAATCATGTTATTTTTAACTGAGAATAAACATATATTTATAATAAAATACTGAATAATAAATATTGAACAATGAATAATATCGTTACTATGATCCTTTACTGCAGTTCTTTTCTTACTCAAGTGAACTTCCCCCAATTCTTTCCAGTCTCTTTCTTTCCTTCTATCTTCCTTTCCTTCTATCTTCCTTTTTTATTATTTTAGTCATGAGATATACACAGATGTAAATAATTTTCTGTGATTTGCTAAGAATACTTTTCCTGCCTAGTGTAATAGATATTGATTTTTTAAGCCCTAAAGTTATTTTCAATTCCTCCAGCACAATGCCATTATCTTGATTTTGTCAAATCACCACTTACTAGGGTGGCCATGTAATTTATTTTTTAAATTGAATGACTTTGGAGAATGAAAGAGTTACTATGATTACACGGAGACATCAGGTGAATACTATAATTGTCCTGGGAAATTGGGCATAATTCTTCACTTTATACTTATCTCACAGTCAACTATATGCTTCAGATTCCATGGACCATATGTTTTAAACTAACCAGTTAGTGTATTACATGCTGTTGTTCACATGGATAAGCACATGAAGCAATCCAGGCCAATAAGGGCCAATTTTGGAGATTTGTTTGAATTTTTAGGTAAAGATTCTTTGTTTTCAATCAGTGAAGGGGACAGGTGGTTTGAATCTGAAGCTACAGGATCACGCTGTATTTCCAGAACATACCCTACGTGGGCACAGTGCCCACACTAGTGAGGGAGAGTTAATAAATGTATCACCTAGTCATTGTTAGCATATTCTTTCATGTTGTTCTTTGAATAAGCATTAATTTACCATTTATATTTAAATGTAATTAGATTGAGAATTCTGCAAATTTCAACTGCTGGATTTCTCCTGACTCATATACTATGGAAATTATTCACTATTTTGAGTAAATGTAATGGCTGTCAAAAGTAATTATTCTCTAATATATTACAAAATCTGTGATTTTCTTATATATATGCTAAATTACCTCTTTTATAGTATGACATACATAGAGTATCTTTGTCCTGCAGCAAGTGAAGAGTATATAAATTATTATGCATCTTAACATATACTTTTGAATGAATAGATATGCCTACTGAAATTATTTTGAAAAGAATATAAAGTCAAACTACAGAAACTGGTGGCATATAGTATTTAGATTTATTTTTTACTTTACACAAAATATCTTTATTACTTTCGTTACCTTACCAAGTTGTATAATTATGTGGAATGCATTAATTATGTGAACACCTTTTTATCAAACTTATACAGTTGTTGACCTACATTTGACAGGTAAAGGTAAAGAGTTTGAATAATAGTAGTTCAATTTTCAGGTGTCATAGACTCAGATTTATGTATGCACTTAATGCTACCATTAAACAATTTATTCATCGTATTTCTGTATTTAATGGGTTAAAATTAGTGGTGTAGCATGTCTATTATTATATCATAAGGTTCTTAGCATTATTTAAAAACAACGAAAGCTGAGGTGGCAGGATTGCTTGACCCGGTGTGGGGGTCGGGGAGTAGGGAGGATGGAGGTTGTAGTGATCTGAGATCATGCCACTGCACTCCAGCCTGGGTGACAGAGTGAGGCCCTATCTAAAAATAAAGATAATAAATTTATAAATGTATTATTTATTAAATAATAAAAATAAGGAAACATACTTTTCTGTAAATATTATACAATTTGAAACAATACTCTGTTGTCTATTAAACAAGGCACTCTTACAATTTCTAAGTTGTTCCAACATACATATTTTGTTTTTTTCTTGATACGTATTCTACCAGTACTATAACTTACTAATCACAATTAAAAAATACTTTTTTCTAATTTATGTTAAAGATTTTAGAAATATCATGCTATGCTAATAGAACACTGTACATTAATGAGTAGTCATTTGGAGTACTTTATTTTTTAGGATGGAAATTTGTGAAACATCTTCTGCACTATCTCACACGTTTTGTGAATCAGAGTACATGTCTAAAAGGGGATTATTTGGGAGTCATGGTATACTGTGTGGCTTTATAATAAGAAGGCAGACTTATTAGCCATGTGAAATTTAAACCCAGATTTGGCCACAAAATTCTAGTGAATAATTTTGTAAACTATAATTCATCCTCATGATAAAAATGACTGCACAGGTTGAAACCGTGCAAATCAATAGTAATGATCAATGAAAAAAATTGCAATTACTTCATGGCCTTTAAAAACTTTGTTCACAATATTAAAGATATTTATTTCTATTGGTAATAAATATATAAGATAAAATAGTAAAAGTAATATATATTTGATACATTGTAAATTAAGATATTATAAACTTTGAGAGTGTTTTATTAATAAAAATATCAAATGTGGTTTAAACAGTCAGTGAATCTTCTTCAATATAAACTGTATGCTAGTCCACAACACAATCAGCCACAATAAATTTCAAAAATTGAAGTGTTAATAAATATGCTGTCTGATTACAATATAATTAAATCAAAGATTGTTAATAAAAAACATATCTAGGTAACTCCAAGTTAATTGAAAATTTGCCAATATACTTCTAAAAAACCTATTGGCCAATGGAAATAAGATAATATTTCCATTATTATCTACACACTAATGAAAATGTAACATATCAAATTTGATGGGAAGAAGCTAAAACAGTGCTATAAAAATTCATAATTATAAGTATATTAAAAATGTAATGTCTAATATAAACTTTCTAAGATATCTTTAGACTCTGTAAAAAAGAAAAGTAAACACATATCAATAGACAAATGGCAAAAAAGAACATATCCTGTGTCATCCTATTTATATGAAGTTCTGGAACTTGCAAACCAATCTATGGAAAGTAGAAAAGTGGTTGCCTCTGTGTAAGGGGAAGAGAGACTTGAAAGGGGCATGAGAGAAGATTTAAGAGTGTGCTCTAAAACCTGATTGAGGTATTGATTCTATGGGTAAGTAGATTGGTCAAAACCCAATGACCCACATAATTTAGATTCATGCATTTTCTATATGTAGCTGTACCTTAGTTTAAAAAAGAGACCAATTAAAAAGAAAAGCATTGCTTATAAATATGTATTAATATATCCAGTATCTGGGACAATTCTCATTCTTACCATTTGAAATGTACTCTGATCATTTATATTTGATTGTCAACTGTCTTTTCTGCTATTTTACATTAAATAAAGTCACTTACAAATTTTGTAATGATTTCATTAACTTAAGATCACTGCTTGCTAGCCTAAAAAAATGGCTTTGAGTCCAGAATGTACTTTTTGCATCACTCTTTAAGGTTATAGTAAGACTCAGTATAACCATTGAGTACACAGAAAGATTTGAAACATTAAAATTTTCTATATTGAAATAAAAACGAAATGCAAAAACAATGCCTTCATTACTAATTCATTCAATGTTTATGACCTTCTCTCTTGGAAGAAAATTAAAGAAATCTAAAATTCTTTACTCAGCAGCTGTTATATGATGACTGACTACAATGGGACCAAGGTTGTTTATCTGAAATACAATCCTCACAGCTGGCAAGTGTCAGAGTGCTATCTCTTGGAACTGCTGAAAAATCTGTAGTGAATTTCCTTAAAAACCTCAAGAAATCAGTATCTATTGAGCTTTTGTTGTAACTTTCATTTGTCTGATTTTTAAATAATTGATTGAAAATTGCATCTGTACATTCATCTTTACACACATACAAGCTCAAATGCTTTAAAAATAGATTTGAAGGTTGGAAGAGCATCACAAATAAAGGGTAGTTATAAAGATCAGCTAAAAACAATTTCTTTCAAAGATAGCACACATATGTAAAATAAGATATTTGAGGGTGAGTCGAGTATAGTAAACACATGCAGACATATTCCTTTGAGAATGTAGTTTCTACTTCAAATTTATATATGTTTATATGGAGGTAGTTTGTGTGTCAATGTGATTATAAAGTATGCAATGGTGAATAAATTGAGCAATTTATTTTCAAGAGATATATCTGCTTGTAAAGAGAGCAATAAAATAAATGAATGTGTGGTGTATTAGTCCGTTCTCACAGTGCTATGAAGAAATACTCAAGACTAGATAATTTATAAAGAAAAGAGGTTTAATTGACTCACAGTTCCACGTGGCTGGGGAGCCCTCATGAAACTTACAATCATGGTGGAAGGCACCTGTGATGGTTAATATTGAGTGTCAACCTGATTGGATTGAAGGACACACAGTATCGTTTCTGGGTGTGTCTGTGGAGTGTGGCCAAAAGAAATTAATGTTTGAGTCAACTAGGAGAGCCAGACTGACCCTCGATCTGGGTGGGCACCATCTAATTAGCTGTCAGCACAGCTAGAATAAAGCAGGCAGAAGAAGATAAAAAGAGGAGACTTGCTGAGCCTTCCAGCCTTCATCTTTCTCCTGTGTTGTATGCTTCCTTCCCTCAAACATCAGACTTCAAGTTCTTCAGCTTTCGGATTCTTGAACTTACACCAGTGGTTTGCCAGGGGCTCTTGGGTCTTTGGACACAGACTGAAGTCTGCACTGTCAGGTTCCTACTTTTGAAGATATGGGACTTGAACTGCCTTCCTTGCTCCTCAGCTTGCAGGCGGCCTATTGTGGGACTTCACCCTTGTAATCCAGTGAGTCAATACTCCTTAATAACTCTCCTTCATATATACATCTATTCTATTAGCTTTGTCTCTCTGGAGCACCCTGACTGATACAGATTTTTGTATCAGGAGTGAACCTAGAAGAACAAAATTTTAAGGATAGATTTCTTTATTTAGTTTTATGGTTTCTGGAGTTGGCTGCTTAATCTGATTAGACTCCAAAATGCCAAGGACTCTACTTCTGATAGTATGGAGAACACTGATAGTCCTTGGTGTGAACTATTTAGAGAGTTATAAAAAATAAATGTGTTTGGGATGGGCGTGATGGCTCACGCCTGTGATCCCAGCACTTTGGGAGGCCGAGGCAGGTGGATCATGAGGTCAGGAGTTTGACACCAGCCTGGCCAGCATGGTGAAACCCCGTCTCTACTAAAAATACAAAAATTAGCTGGGTGTGGTGGCAGCCACCTGTAATCCCAGCTACTTGGGAGGCTAAGGCAGGAGAATTGTTTGAACCTGGGAGGTGGAGGTTGCAGTGAGCTGAGATTGTGCCATTGCACTCCAGCCTGGGCAATAGGGTGAGACTCTGTCTCAAAAAAAAAATGTGTTTGATACTCCTGATTCACTGCTTTTGAGAGGCAAGGAGTTTAGCGACTCTATACGTAACACCTTCAACCATAGGTGGACAACCAAGGAATATAATGAAGTTGGCTGGTTGTTCCTAAGTTTGCTAGACAAAGTGATGAAAGAAAATGAAGTCAGGGATTCTAACTCCCAGCTCCAGAAACACATACTGAGCTTCAAATCTTCTAAGACTGCCCTGAGTGAGAGTCTTATTTCCTGTTCACAAAGGGCTAAAATTGTGGAAAATCAGACATAAGCTCTTATCATGCAGTGAAAGGTGCACGCACAGCCTTGCCAGGTGTCTACTGTTAAAGTGAAGGCATTGATTGGAAAAGATTTGGATCCTGCCACTTGGAATGGGAACATGTGGAAGGATACTGATGAGGCTGGGGGCACTGAAGTCTTAAATTCTGAAGAGCTTTTTTTGCCAGAAGAAACAGCCTCCCCACCCCCAGTGGTGGCAACATCACCTTCCCCTCCCACACTGCCATCAGTCTATCCACCTTGGTCTGAGGAGATTAACTATGCACTACCTGAGCCAGTTGTCAGACAATGCTGATTCTCCTCAGGACCGACCCCCAACACCCCTGTTTGCTTCTGGGCCTATAACTAAATTCCTGGCAGGCCCCTAGAGGTAAGATTCAGAATGTGATCCATAGGGTGTTGTGCTAGAGTCCAAAAGACCTGCTTGAGTTTTCTAATTTATATAAGCAGAAATCTGGAAAACAGCCATGGGAATGGATACTAAGGGTGTGGAATAATGGTGGAAGAAACATAGACTTGGGTCAGGCTGAACTTACCGATATGGGCCTACTAAGCAGGGATTCTGCATTTAATGTTCAGCTCAGGGAGTTAAAAAAAGTTCTAATAGCTTATTTCCATGGTTAGCTGAAACACGGATCAAAAGATGGTCCACTGTGAGCGAGTTGGAAATGCGCAGTCTCCCTTGGTTTAATGTGGAGGAAGGGATAAAAAGGCTTAGGGGGATGGGAATGCTAGAGATTAGCCACTTTAGACATACTCATTTCAATGGGGAGGGTCCGTAAGACATACTCTTCACTAATAATTCTTCACTAAGATCTCCGTGATTGCTCTTCTTTGTATGCCTGATCTTACAGTGGGAACCACAGTCACTCAATTGGAAAACTTAAATGTAATGAGAATAATTGGATTCCAAGGTGTCAGGGGCCAAGTGGCAGCACTCAACCATCAAAGGCAAAGTGGACCTAGCTGTCACAATGGACAGCAGAGGCAAAGCAGCAATCAGAATAGTCTGACTCGTGTAGAGCTCTGGCATTAGTTAATTAATCACGGTGTTCCCAGAAGTGAAACTGATAGGAAGCCTACTGCATTCTTACTTAATTTGTATAGGCAGAAAACTTCCAGGCCAAGTGGACAAAAGACTAATTTGAATTATAAAAATAGAGAATCATGGCCCCTCAATCAATTTGCAGACTTGCAACAGTTTACAGACCCCCTTAAATTAAGGGGAGGCTATGTCCCCTTGAGGAAGGACCCCACTATAATATCGACAGTTTATACTGTTCATCTTTCTCCCATTCTTCCCCAAGGAGACCTCTGGCCTTTTACCAGGATAACTGCACTGGGGAAAGGGGAATGATCAGACATTTTGGAGACTACTGGACAGTGGTTCACAGCTGACATTGTTTCCAGGGGACCCAAAACGTTATTGTGGCCCTCCAGTTTAAAAAGGGGCATATGGAGGTCAGGTAATTAATGGAGTTTTAGGTCATGTCTGACTTACAGTGGATCTAGCAGTTCACAGACTCATCCTGTGTTTATTTTGCTAGTGCCAGAATGCATAATTGGCATAGACATACTTAGCAGCTGGAACAATCCCCACATTGGCTCCCTGACTCATAGAGTGAGGGACATTATGATGGGAAAGGCCAAATGGAAGCCATTAAAGCTGCCTCTACCTAGAAAAAATAGTGAAGCGAAAACAATATCACATAGCTAGAAGGAATGCAGAGATTAGTGCCACCATCAAGCACTTGAAAGATGCAGGGGTGGTGATTCCCGCCACATTGCTGTTCAACTTTCCTATTTGGCCTGTGGAGAAGACAGATGGATCATGGAAAATGACAGTAGATTCTCATAAGCTTAACCAAGTGGTGACCCTAATTGCAGCTTCGGTACCACATGTTGTTTCATTGCTTGAACAAATTAACACATCTCCTAAAACCTGGTATGCAGCCATTGATTTGGCAAATACCTTTTTCTCCATTCCTGTTCATGAGGCCCACCAGAAGCCACTTGCTTTCAACTGGCAAGGCCAGCAATATACTTTCACTGTCCTACCTCAGGGGTATATCAACTCTCTGGCTTTGTGTCATAATCTTGTTTGCAGAGATCTTGATCTCTTTTCACTTCCACAAGATACCACGTTGATCTATTACATTGAGGGCATTATTCTGCTTGGATTCAGTGAGCAAGAAGTAGCAAACAAATTGGATAAAGGCTGACCTGACTACAGCCATTGCTGAGTGCCCAATTAGCCAGCAGCAGAGACTAACATTGAGCCCTTGATATGGCATCATTTTTGGGGGTGATTAGCCAGCTACTTGGTGGCAGGTTGATTATATTGGACCTCTTCAACCATGGAAAGGAGAGCAATTTGTCCTAACTAAAGTAGACAGTTTCTCTTGATATGGGTTTACCTATCCTGCATGCTATGCTTCTGCCAAGACTATCATCCATGGATTCATGAAATGCCTTATCCACCATCATGGTATTCCACATAGCATTGCCTTTGACCAAGACACTCTCTTTATGGTTAAAGAAGTGCAACAGTGGGCTCATGCTCATAGAATTCACTGGTCTTACCATGTCCCCCATCATCCTCAAGCAGCTGGATTGACAGAACAGTAGAATGGCCTTTTGAAGTCAAAATTACAATGCCAACTAGCATTGTACCAACTAGGTGACAATACTGTGTAGGGCTGGGGCAAAGTTCTCCAGAAGCCTGTGTATGCTCTGAATCAGCATCCAATATATGGTACTGTTTCTCCCATAGCCAGTATTTAGGGGTCCAGGAATCAAGGGGTGGAAGTGGAAGTGGCACAACTCACCATCACCCCTAGTGACCCAGTAACAAAATTTTTGATTCCTGTTTCCATTACATTATTTTCTTCTGGCCTAGAGAACTTAGTTCCAGAGGGAGGAATGCTGCCACCAGGAGACACAACAACAATTCCATTAAACTGGAAGGTAAGTCAACAGGCAAGGAAGGGAATGAACAGTGTTGGCTGGGGAAATTGACGCAACTATCAAGATGACATCATTCTACTACTCCACAGTGGAGGTAAGGAAGAGTATGCATGGAATACAGGAGATCCCTTAGAGCGTCAGTTAGTATTACCATGCCCTGTGATTAAGGTCAATGAGAAACTACAACAACCCAATCCAGGCAGAACTACAAATGGCCAAAACCCTTCAGGAATGAAGGTTTAGGTCACTCCATCAGATGAAAAGATAAGACCAGATGAGGTTCTTGCTGAAGGCAAAGGAAATCCAGAATTGGTAGAAGAAGAAAGTAGCTATCAATATCAGCTAGGACCACGTGACCAGTTGCAGAAACAAGTACTGTAATTGTCATATATATACTTGTATGCTTGTGCATGTATACACTTGTACTAAGAAAATATCTTCATTTTATTTCCTTTCTTTTTCTTTATCATATGACACAAGATTTATTGACTTTATCTCAGCATTTGAGTGCTGTTAATTTTATGTAATAGCATTTGGGTTAAGGAATAGTGTGCTTCCAGTTGTACAAATGATAGCCATGTTATGTTAAGCTTAATCATGACCTTATTATTTTCTTTATTTGAAGATCATATATGAGTTCAGGAGACATATATGTTCAAGTTTAAAAGGGATGGACTTTTGATGGTTAATATGGAGTGTCAACTTGATTGGATTGAAGGATGCAAAGTATTGTTCCTGGGTGTGCCTGTGAGAGTGTTGCCAAAAGAGATTAATATTTGAGTCATTGGACTGGCAGAGGCAGACTCACCTTCAATCTAGGTGGGTACCATCTAATCAGCAGCCAGTGCAGCTAGAATAAAGCCAGGAGACGTAATTGGAAAGAGCAGACTTGTTGAGTCTTCTGGCTTTCATCATTCTCCTGTGCCTGATGTGTCCTGCTCTTGAACTTTTGACTCAACGTTTACAGCTTTCAGACTCTTAGACTTACACCAGTGGTTTACCAGGGGCTCTCAGGTCTTTGGCCACAGAATAAAGGCTGCATTGTTGGCTTCCCTACTTTTGAGGTTTTGGGACTTGATATGCTTTGGCTGTGTCCCCACCCAAATCTCATATTGAATTCTATTTCTTATAATTCCCACATGTCATGGGCGAGACCCAGTGGGAGGTAACTGAATTATGGAGGCAGCTTTTTTCATGCAATTCTCATGATAGTGAGTATGTTTTCACAAGATCTTATGGTTTTATAAGGGGCTTTCCACTTCACTTAGTTTTTATTCTTCTTGCATCTGCAATGTGAAGAAAAACGTGTTTGCCTTTCCTTGTATCATAATTGTAAGTTTCCTGAGGTGCCCCCAGCCCTGTGGAACTGTGAGTCAATAAATTCTCTTTCCTTTATAAATTACCCAGCCTTAGGTATTTCTTCGTAGCAGCATGAGAACTGACTAATGCAGTAAATTGGTACCAGTTAGTGGGGCACTGCTATAAAGATACCCAAAAATGTGGAAGCAACTTTGGAACTTGGTAACAGGCAGAAGTTGGAGCAGTTTGGAGGGCTCAGAATAAGACAAGAAGATGTGAGAAAGTTTGGAACTTTCTAGAGACTGTTGAATATCTTTTACCAAAATGCTGATAGTGATATGGACAATGAAGTTCAGGCTGATGTGGTCTCAGGTAGAGATGAGAAACCTGTTTGGAATTGGAGCAAAGGCAACTCTTGCTATGCTTTGGCAAAGAGACTGGTGGCATTTTGCTCCTGCCCTAGAGATCTATGGAACTTTGAATTTGAGAGAGATGATTTAACGTATCTGGTGGAAGAAATTTCTAAGTAGCAAAGTGTTAATGATGTGACTTGTGTGCTGTTAAAAGCATTCAGTTTTATGTATTCACAAATATATAATTTGGAATTGGAACTTATGTTTCAATGGGAAGTGGAACATAAAAGTTTAGGCGAGTTTCAGCCTGATGATGTGATAGAAAGGCAAAACCCATTTTCTGAGAAGAAATTTATGCCAGCTGCATAAATTTGTATAACTAATGAAAAGCCGAATGTTAATCATTAAGAAAACGCGGAAAATGTCTCCAGGGCATGTTTAGAGGCCTTTATGGCAGCCTGTCCCCTCACAGGCCTGGAGGTCTAGGAGGCAAAAAAGGTTGCCTGGGCAGCATTCAAGGACCCCCTTCTGTGTGCAGCCTCAGGACTTGGTGCCCTGCATCCCAGCCACTCCAGCCATGGCTAAGAAGATCCAAGGTACATTTCAGCCCATTGTTTTAGAGAGTGCAAGCCCCAATCCTTGGCAGCTTCCATGGGGTGTTGGTTCTGTGGGTATGCACAAGACCAAAATTGAGGGTTGGGAACATCTGCCTAGATTTCAGAGGATGCACGGAAATGCCTGGATGTCCAGGCAGAAGTCTGCTTCAGGGGCTGAACCCACATGGAGAACCTCTGCCAGGAAAATGTGGGGTCAGAGTCCCCATACAGAGTCCCCACTGGGACACTTCCTAGTGCCTGCAACTTTTCCAGGTACACAGTGCAAGCTGTCAGTGGATGTTTCATTCTGAGGTTTGGAGGACTGTGGACCTCTTCTCAGAGCTCCACCAGGCAGTGCTCCAGTGGGGACACTGTGTGGTGGCTCCAACCCCATATTTTCCTTCTGCACTGCTCTAGCAGAAGCTCTCCCTGAGGGTTCTGCCCCTGCAGCAAATTTCTCCCTGGACATCCAGGCATTTTCGTACACTCTCTGAAATCTAGGCAGAGGCTCCCAAACCTCAATTTGTGACTTCTGTGGACCCACAGGCTCAATATCACACGGAAGTTGCCAAGACTTGGGGCTTTCACCCTCTGTAGTAATGGCTCGAGCTGTATCTTGGTCCCTTTTAGCCAAGAATGGAGCTGAAGCAGCTGGGAAACAGGGTACCATGTCCCGAGGCTGCACAGAGCAGGGGGGCCCTGAACTGGGCCCAAGAAACCAAGTTTTGCTCCTAAGCCTTTGGATAAGTGATGGGAGGAGCTTCCATGAAGGTCTCTGACATTCCCTGGAGATATTTTTCCCATTGTCTTGATGATTAACATTTGGCTCCTCATTACTTATGCAGATTTCTGCAGTGGGCTTACATTTCTCTCCCCAAAATGTGTGTGTTTTAAAAATTTTTTTATTTTATTTTTTCATTGCATGATCAGGCTGCAAATTTTCCAAACTTTTATGCCCTGTTTCCGCTTGAACACTTTGTCACTTAGAAATGTCTTCTGCCAGATACCCTAAATAATCTCTCTCAAGTTCAAAGTGCCACAGAGCTCTAAGACAGGGGCAAAATGCTGCCAGTCTCTTTGCTAAAACATAGCAAGAGTCACTTTTGCTTCAGTTCCCAACAAGTTTCTTATCCCTATCTGAGACCACCTCAGCCTGGACTTCATTGTCCATATCACTATCAGCATTTTGGTCAAAGCCATTCAACAAGTCTCTAGGAAGTTTGAAACTTCCAACATCTTCCTGTCTTCTGAGCCCTCCAAGTCTCTTGGAAGTTCCAAACTTTCGCAAATTTTCCTATGTCCTTCTGAGCCCTCCAAACTGTTTCAACCTCTGTTTGTTACTGAGTTCCAAAGTCGCTTCCAAATTTTCAGGTATCCTTATAAAAGTGCCCCACTGCCTCAGCACCAATTTACTGTATTAGTTCGTTTTCATGTTGCTATGAAGAAATACTTGAGACTGGGCAATTTATATAGAAGAGAGGTTTAATTGGCTTATAGTTTCACCCGGCTGGGGAGGCCTCAAGAAACTTACAATCATGGTGTAAGGCACCTGTTCACAGGGTAGCAGGAGAGAGAATGAGTGCCAAGCAAAGGGGAAGCCCCTTATTAAACCATCAGATATCACGAGAACTCACTCACTATCATGAGAACAGCATGGGGAAAACAGCTCCCATGGTTTAATTATCTCCATCTGGTCCTGCCCTTGACATGTGGGAATTATAACAATTCAAGGTGAGATTTGGGTGAGGACACAGAGCCAAAACATATTATGTTGTTACTGGACCTTTTTGTTTATATCAGGGTAAAGTTTGAAGGGGATAACTGAATGGAACTCAAACTGTTTTGTCTATTTTACATTGGGAAATTTAGAGCATTGTTCCTGGTAGAAGGAAAGACTATATACAGAAAGTAGAATTGGAAGTGCCACTTAAAAGTCAGAAATTTGGGCTGAATTTGGGGAAGTGTCCGGGGAAGATTTGAGCAAGGGATTTGTGGATATATGCAGTATCCATGCTTCAGGCTTTGGAGAGATAATTGGGTGGCAAGTACTCGTAGAAATTTCTCCAAGGTGTTATGAATTGCAGCACCTCTAGCACTTTTTGAAAGAATGTTGTAAAGGATAAAATTGCTTTGTCATTGCTTTCGGATGTTTATCTCAATTTAGCAACATGTTGAAACAGCCATAAAGAGACCCACTTTTATTGTTATATTAATAAACTCAGAAGGTATATTTTTGAAAGCATACATCTCAATTATTTTGTTTTCAAACTTACAGTAGCACTTTATTAAAGAGTGTAAATGTCACATTTTTCCTTTTTTTTTTTAATGTTACTTATACATCATGGTAAAATTGTGATCATGATTTGCCTTTCTAACTGAATTGATTTCAGTTTTAATGTCATAACACTTTTTAGTACCACGTCTTATTTGCTGAGTTTCTGCAACTTACTACTATATTCACTGCTTTTGCCATGTAAACATGTACAATAAATTGAGTATTCCTTTTCTCTAAATAACTGAACATCTAATCATTGGTTAAATCTAGTCCTGTAATTGTTATGTCTTCAGTATTTCTTGATTTTTTTTTTTTTGGTCATAGTCAGGTAACCCTATTCTGTTTTACCTGTATTTGTCTTTTCTTTATCTTCGGGGCAGTATTTTTTGCAGAGTACCATCTGTTTGTCCAGTTTTGTTTCTGTTTTATAAGTCAGTCCTACCAGGAACTGTGCATATATCAACAGATTCTTTCAGCCTTACAACCAGAAGTACAGACGGCTAAGGGTTCTCATATTAGATCAGGAAAACAGAAGCCAGTCCTTGGCATCTCCTTTGCTTTTAATGAGAACCATGATTTGATTAATCAGATGGATGAACAAAAACTCATGTCATGCCCAGCTGTAGTACTTCATAATCTGCCCCTCCCAAGACTGAATCCATTTATAGCATTGGATTTCTGCCTTGGCATGTTCTTCTAATTTTCAAAATTGAACTGCTGCCTAGGATGAGTGGATTTTATCTTCTACTTATTAGTTTGGAACTCTGGAGGCCAATAATTACCTGAATAGTATCCAAACTACTAATAAGTAAGACCATATTCATTTGACTAGTTGGCTATCTACAATGAGACCAGCCTTTGCAATTGCTATTCCTATATTTCTGTTAGATTGCTGTTAACTCTCTGGCTTTCTGAAGCCATAGCAGTGCATAGGCTGAAGAGTCTCTTTTGTATATTAACTTATCAATAGAAGTTTCTTCACATAATGCACATTTATTCTCTGAGACTGTATCAACATCTTTAATTATATATTTGATGCTGATTAGATTATATGAAAATTCCAGAATACTGATCTCTGAGTAATCAAGACTTTAAGTGTTACAGGCAATTATCTTCATTCTTAAAATGAAAACTAAATGAAAGAAAACTTTGCATTGGATCTAAATATATCTGTTAGGTGATAAATTACTATGAAACTATAAAAATACTAAACCTAGATGTTTATTAATATATAATTGACTTAAAATATCATATTCAACTTTACTATGTAGAAGTGAAATAGTGGCATTTCTAACTTGAAATGCTATAGTTTTTTATTGCAAATTGAACTTCCGTTTAAAGCACACTTAAAAATACTGTGTACAAAATATGCTATTGAATATTAAGAACATATACTTCTTTTGCATTAGCAATACAACAGTTTCAAAGTTAAATCTAGCATTTATTAAGATTGTTACCTAAATGGGATAAAGACACATGAACTTTGATGTCCCGAGAAGCATTTCAAGCTACCTTGTCTGTCCATCCCACTGGCACTGTTATTGCCCTCAAAATTTCTCTCCTAAGTTATTGCAACAAACTTATAATTACTTCGTTTTTCATTAATTCTATCTTATTTCTTACTTATTCTGAACATTCATCTTAAATGATTTTACTTCTTTAAAAATATGCTTAAACATTTAATTGATAGATAAATGTGTATGTATTCACCAGGTACAAAATGATGTCTTGAAGTACAACAGACTATTGAACAACATGTGGGTTAGAAGTACTAATCCCTACACAAACAAAAACTCATGTGTAACTTTGGTCTGCCCCAAAACTTAGCAACTAATAGTCAACTGTTAACTGGAAGCCTTACTCATAACATAAACAGTTGATTAACACATATTATGTACACTTGTTATTTAAAGTACGTTTATCATGAAATAAGCTAGAGAAAAGAAAATGTTATTAAGAAAATCATAAGGAAGAGAAATTTTATTTACTACTTATTAATTACGAATAGATTATTATAAGGGTCTTCATTCTCATTATGTTCACATTGAATAGGCTGAGCAGATGGGGAGGCATTGGTCTTGTTTTCTCAGGGATCAGAGAAGTGGAAGAAAATCTGAATGTAAGTGGACCCACACAGTTCAAACCCATGTTGTTCAAAAGTTAACTGTATGTATACATTATAAAATGACTAAATATATTTAATTAACATTAACTCACATAGTTATATTTTTGTAGTAGAACACTTTACATCCATTCTCTTAGTATTGTTTTAAGAATAAGTTATTAACTATAGTTGCCATGTTGTTCAATAGAACTTTTGGTCTTATTTTTCCTATGTAGCTGAAATATTCTATGCTTTGACCAATATTTTTCCAACTCCCTACTCTCCAACCTTCCTATCTGCTCCTAACCATCAGCCTATGCTTTACTTCTATGATATAAATTTCTATAGATTCCACATATGAGCGAGATTGTGCAGTATTTGTATTTCTGTTCCTGACTTAGTTAGTTGAGAAGGATACCTTTGCTGGACACAGTATTCTTCATTGGCAGTTTCTTGTCCTTCAGCTCTTTGAACATATCATCCTAATCTCTCTTGTCCTGTAAGATATCTGCTCAGAAATCTACAGCTAGCTCTATTAAAATTCCTTATGTTATTTACTTCTTTTCTCTTGCTGCTTTCAAGCTCCTCTCTTTATCTCTTTTGATTATAACACTGTATTAGTCCATTTTCATGCTGCTGATAAAGATATACTCAAGACTAGGAAGAAAAAGAGGTTTAATTGGACTTAGAGTTCCACATGGCTGGGGAGGCCTCAATATCATGGCAGGAGGTGAAAGGCACTTCTTACATGGTGGCAGTAAGAGAAAAAGAGGAAGAAGCAAAAGCAGAAACCCCTGATAAACCCTTCAGGTCTCATGAGACTTATTCACTACCACAAGAATAGCACTGGAAAGACTGGATAACTAAGAGAAAAAAGTATCTGTAAATATTCAGAAACCAATAATTGCAAGAATAATTTCCAAACATGGGTGTCAGGAAATAAAGGGAAGAGGTGTCCTTATGAGAACTTAATGGTGCAAAAGAGCAGTGCAATGAGCTGTGTGTTCAGAGGGAACATTGCCCTCCTAGTGCTTGTATGTCTAAGGTGGTTGTTTAAATCACAGAAAAAGGGGTTGTTTAAACTACAGAGAAAAGCAACGTGCTCCCAACAGGCTGTTGTGAGGGGAGCAGCCTACTATGGTCTCAGACAACCCAGAGTTTGTTTCCCAGTGGATATGTGAGAGCAATGTGGCTGCTGCTCTGCTTGACAATAGGAATGGCATCTTTGCTTTTGGTACCTCTGAGTGAGCCCAGAGATGCTGGTGCTGGGAATGCCACCAGACATTGATGGTAACTAATCACTATCATTCAAAGTGAATTTTTTATGTGTCTGTACTGTGCTACCTAGGGTGGGGGTAACGCAGATAATGTAAAACTCTTCTTCCTACCCTCTTTAATACATTCTTCTTACTATTGTGCTACAAGAAGGTACTATGATAGCTTACCTGGTTTTATGAAGGTATTTTTGTGAAGGTATTTTGTGAAGTTATTTTGCTAGCTTTTGTGAAGGTATTTTTGCATGTGGATAGTTGTCCAGTGATTTTTCTATGTGGGGACGATTGCTAGAGAGTTCTATTCCACCATCTCCCACTCTCTCTGAGGTCAAACAGACTATTAACAGTGAGAAGTGACAGCGTGCCGGCAGTCCTCACAGCCCTCGCTCGCTCTCAGCGCCTCCTCTGCCTGGGCTCCCACTTTGGCGGCACTTGAGGAGCCCTTCAGCCCACCGCTGCACTGTGGGAGTCCCTTTCTGGGCTGGCCAAGGCCTGAGCCGGCTCCCTCAGCTTGCAGGGAGGTGTGGAGGGAGAGGTACGAGCGGAAACGGAGCTGCCCGCGGCGCTTGCGGGCCAGCTGGAGTTCCGGGTGGGCATGGGCTTGGCGGGACCCGCACTCGGAGCAGCTGGCCGGCCCTGCCGGCCCCGGGCAATGAGGGGCTTAGCAACCAGGCCAGCTGCTGCGGAGGGTACACTGGGTCCCCCAGCAGTGCCAGCCCGCCAGCATTGCGCTGGATTTCTCTCCGGGCCTTAGCTGCCTTCCCGCGGGGCAGGGTTCGGGACCTGCAGCCCACCATGCCTGAGTCTCCCACCCGCTCCGTGGGCTCCTGTGCGGCCTGAGTCTCCCCGATGAGCGCCGCCCCCTGCTCCACGGCGCCCAGTCCCATCGACCACCCAAGGGCTGAGGAGTGCGGGCGCACTGCGAGGGACTGGCAGGCAGCTCCACCTGCAGCCCCAGTGCAGGATCCACTGGGTGAAGCCATCTGGGCTCCTGAGTCTGGTGGGGACGTGGAGAACCTTTATGTCTAGCTCAGGGATTGTAAATACACCAATCAGCATCCTGTGTCTAGCTCAGGGTTTGTGAATGCACCAATCAACACTCTGTAACTAGCTACTCTGGTGGGGCCTTGGAGAACCTTTATGTCTAGCTCAGGGATTGTAAATACACCAATTGGCACTCTGTATCTAGCTCAAGTTTTGTAAACACACCAATCAGCACCCTGTGTCTTGCTCAGGGTCTGTGAATGCACCAATGGACACTCTGTATCTAGCTACTCTGGTGGGTCCTTGGAGAACCTTTGTGTCCACACTCTGTATCTAGCTAATCTGGTGGGGACTTGGAGAACCTTTGTGTCTAGCTCAGGGATTGTAAATGCACCAATCAGCACCCTGTCAAAACAGACCACTAGGCTCTACCAATCAGCAGGATGTGGGTGGGGCCGGATAAGAGAATAAAAGCAGGCTGCCGGAGCCAGCAGTGGCGACCTGCTCGGGTCCCTTTCTACACTCTGGAAGCTTTGTTCTTTCTCTCTTTGCAATAAATCTTGCTACTGTTCACTCTTTGGGTCCACACTGCCTTATGAGCTGTAACACTCACTGCGAAGGTCTGCAGCTTCACTCCTGAGCCAGCGAGACCACGAACCCACCAGAAGGAAGAAACTGTGAACACATCTGAACATCAAAAGGAACAAATTCCGGACACACTGACTTTAAGAACTGTAACACTCACCGTGAGGGTCCGCGGCTTCATTCTTGAAGTTAGTGAGACCAAGAACCCACCAATTCCGGACACAACAGGACTGAGCTGTCAGAGAGGACTATGAAGCATGTAGACTTGGAAAGTTCTCCATAATGGGCAAACCTCCTCCTGGACTTTGGACACGCCTGTGTAGCCACACTTTCAACATTTCTCACTCTGTGCTTTTTACATCCTTGTTCTAAGATTCAAGGTGGGTGTTCTGGTGACCTACCTGCAAATAGTAGAACCCAGAGTGAAAAGTAGACAAACCTAGCCTTGAAGAAGAGAATTATTTCTAAAATATTATTTGGTTAGTTTATTCCCTGCCTATTAAGAATTTCACACCCTTTCAGTTGTCTCCGTATAAAATTCCAAACTCTGTTTACAAGATGCACATGCTCCAAGTCGTGGTTACTTGCCTATTATATCCTAATTCTATAGCTTGCTTTTACACTCAGATTTGTGTTCCTAGGCTCTTACCTTATAAATTATATTTCCCAGTTTCTTTGACCAGCTGGCTTTCTAATAGGTTCTACTAACAGGAGACCCTAGAGTAAGATCAGAAAATGTGAAGAAAGTAAAAGACTTTTTTTTTTCTCTGAATTCAAGTCCTTGTCATTCAATATTCTTTGAATGATAGTGATTAGTTACCATCAATGTCTGGTGGCATTCCCAGCACCAGCATCTCTGGGCTCACTCAGAGGTACCAAAAGCAAAGATGCCATTCCTATTGTCAAGCAGAGCAGCAGCCACATTGCTCTCACATATCCACTGGGAAACAAACTCTGGGTTGTCTGAGACCATAGTAGGCTGCTCCCCTCACAACAGCCTGTTGGGAGCACGTTGCTTTTCTCTGTAGTTTAAACAACCCCTTTTTCTGTGATTTAAACAACCACCTTAGACATACAAGCACTAGGAGGGCAATGTTCCCTCTGAACACACAGCTCATTGCACTGCTCTTTTGCACCATTAAGTTCTCATAAGGACACCTCTTCCCTTTATTTCCTGACACCCATGTTTGGAAATTATTCTTGCAATTATTGGTTTCTGAATATTTACAGATACTCTTTTTTCTCTTAGTTATCCAATATATGTTAAATCAAGCCTATTAAAAATCATCTACTTAAAATATATATGTGCTGTGAGGTGATGGTGAATGTTTAGCAACTGGCTGTCTGGTATGGATAGGGTAGGGTAAAGGAGCAGCCTTGATTTGTAGAACTTGCTATTTTAAAGATGTAAATATTCTCATCATGTCTGATTGAAACTACAGATGTGATGTCAAAATACAGATTAGGAAGATAAGTACACAATCCACTCATCATTATAAGCCCGCTTCAGCACGTACTTTGTTTTCTGTGTTCTGACAGGACCATTAATGAAACAATGATGGATACAATAAGGTCAGAAAATAGACTCTCAACGATGGAAATCTGAGATTGCTATGTTTTAGTAAGTGGCCTTTGCATCATATTGAGTGTCTTTACAAGAGAAAAAGGTCCACAGGGAATATGACATGCGTTGGTATGTTGATGAATTGAACCATCACTGCCTGCATAGCGTGAAGTGCCTGAGGAAGAGCATGCTGTGTCTAAACAAGTGATTGCTGTACATAACCATTAGAGTGATGACAGCTATTAGTGGGCAAGGATGGTTATGTTATGATTTAACTGCAGACTTTATAGAAAGAAAATTGCAGGTTCAGAAAGAAAAGTTTCAGCTCAAGTCACAGTAATAGAACCAGAGTTATTTTTTGGTAGACCTCTTGAAGTTGTAAAGTAAACGTGACTAAAAATACCCCATGTTCATGTGATTGAGCATGTTGAAGAATTACAGTGTAAACCAAAGACTTGTCAAGCATCTATTTGTAACAACCAAAACCTCTTTGGGGAAGATGTGGATTCATGACTTGGACGTTCAAATGCAATTGAGACTTATGAGTCCCTAAACACCCTGAGCCTCCAATGTCAATGGAAATGATGTGGTTTAAATATTTTACTCCCCCAAATCTCATGTTGAAATATGACTACCAGTGTTGGAGGTGGGGCCTAATAGGAGGTGTTTGGGTCATGGGGGTGGATCTCTCAGGAATGGTTTGGTGCCCTCCCTGTGGTAATGAGTTCACAAGAGAACTGGATGTTTAAAAGAGTCTGAAACCTTCCCCTTCTGTCTGTTTCTCCCAGTCTCTCCACGTGACATGCTGGCTCCCCTTTTGCCTTCCACGATGATTGTAAGCTTCCTCAGGCCTTGCCAGAAACAGATGCTGGAACCGTGTTTTGGGTACAGCCTATAGAACTGTGAGTCAAATAAACCTCTTCTGTTTATAAATTACCCAGTCTTAGGTATTCCTTCATGCAAAACAGATGACTACAGGAAACAACTTATTTTTCATCTTTACATAATAACATTGTAATAACCTGTTATTAGGAAATTCTTCAAAAGAGAATGTTCATTTTTTCTGAAGATACAGTACTTCTACTCCTTATTGCCTCTATAACTAGAATCATATATTAATATGCTGTAAGGGTTTAAGTATCAAATGTGACACAGGAAAAGATAGCTTATTCTCAATAATAGTTGAAAATCTGTACTAACTTTTGTTTATGAAGGCTTATGGAAAAATGTGTAGAATTGGATTATAGAGATGTTGGAATAAGAAAGATAAAATATAAAATTGGGAGTAAATTATCTTTCTAGGTAACTTACCAGATTCTAGATGTTATATGTTAGTTTAAACAATGGAGAGTGGCTCAAACAATTTGTGCAGTGAATTGATTGAAATCTGAACACAAGACCGAATATTATTCTATGCAGTTAAGTACCAAAACTTCTCTGATATAGTGGAGAGAAAAAAATCAAACGCTTAAGATGATGAAAAAGTTGGAACTAACTCTTGATGAAAAACCTGGATATATACACCCTGTTTCACACTCAGATAGGACTCAGAAGAAAATTGCTTTACTAAGGAATTGAGAAATGCATTCATGGAGAAATAAGGGCCAGCTTCTTTATAAAGTTCTGTATTTACTGGGACCTTTAGTTTGGGATGATGTTATGAGATGCTGCTATTAAGAATATCTCTCTAATTTCAATGTTCGTTTGAAAGTAACAGAGGCTTCATTGTTATCTTCAACCTCCAACAATAAAGTGGGTGGCATTACCATATGTAGAAGCAGGAATGAATAAAAGAGTAACAGAATGTCTTAAACCACAGAGATTTTGGTGGTGATGGAATAAACACATTTATCAATAAATAAAATACTTAGAAAATATATTAAAGTGATACTTTATTAAATAAATAAATACATAATTTCTAGATCTGAAGGTGTAAATCTGACTCAATTGATATAATGGAATATTTTAGCCTGCAATCAAAGTCCAACATCTAGGCTAGTTTATTTACCTGGAACTCCTCAAGTGAAGTTAAGTCAGGGTTCGCTTGTGATAAGATCATTCAAAATTGCTGAAAGATGTATGTAAGTAATTTTCTAGGTTGTATTAGGAGCTATGGCCACTTACTAAGATAACTTTATCATGGAAAAATCAAAATACCATGTTCTAGTAGACACAGGTTTTGAGTTGATATTTTCTGAGACACCCACTCTGTGACTGCGGTCCACCAATCAAAGTGGACTTCTGTGGACATCAGGTAATAAATTAAACTTGGGCATAGGTCTCCTGCATGGGTAGGTCACTGGGTCTACAGAACGTATCTGTCATTAATTCTCTTGTTCCTGAATTGGATTCATTTACTGGAAACAAGCAGATTACTCATATTGGCTATCTAAACCATGGACTTGGGCTATTATAAAAAAAATGCTAATTGGAAGCCCCATTAGCCTTTTTATTTCTTAACCAGGATAATAATTCTTTTTTAAAAAAAGCACCACATAGCTGGGAGAATTCAAGAAATTAATATCATTAAAACACACACACCACACTTTAAGGAAGGAGGGTATTAGTGTCTATCACATTATCAATTAAATTACAGATTTGGTCTGTGCAGAGGCTTATTAGCTTCTGTGAATGGCTATTGGTTGTAGTAAAATTTTACTTGGGACTGATCCTGTAGTAAAATTTTACAGGATTACACCTGATTTCAGGTGTAATATTTTACATGCAAGGCTTCTATCAGTTAATATAAAACCATTGATCCATTAATTGCTCTTTTCACTATATTAATTAACAAAAACTCACAGAAGCAGTTTCGTTTACCTAGAAAAGAAAATAACACTTTGTTATGGACTGTCACCGGTCTATATTAACTCTCTTTCTCTCTGCATTAGTTATAAAGATCTTAGTTTAATTGACATAACACAAAATGTAATACAGATTATCTCTCACATTGATAATAGCATGCTGACTAGACCTGAGAAGGAGGGAGTAGAGAATAAGTTAGCAAATAAGTTGTGACACGGGCATGCTAAAGGGTGAGACATAAATGTCATAGAAATTCAAGATCATTCCACTTAAGTGAAACTTCTCAGTATGTAATAGTCTAAAAAGCTGTTATGATATCCTTTACAAATTGGGAGACAAGTTGCTGCTACCTACACAACCCATCACAAAACAAAACAAAACAAAACCATAAAAAAAAAAAACCCTTGGTTGGGCCCCTTACATTTTAGAGCAGCATATACTGGATTCAGGTAATTCATAGGTTCTGAGTAGAACCCTGAGCAAGAAAAGGCTCTGCGAAAATTCCAAGGTTGAGTGCAAGCTTTTCTTTTGGACTGGTCCTATAACCCAGCAGATCTAATTGTACTTTAATAGTTTTAAGTAGGTATGTCATATTAAACCTCTGAAAAGCTTCAATAGAAATTCACAGAGAAGATTCCTGGGGATTTTGGATCATCTTATGTTGTATGGGATATTCTTCATAGCTTGCTAATAGGCCTTAAAAAATACCTGTCTTTTGGCCATAAGATGCCCACATAACCTGAGGTGCTCACATAACTTGAGGTGCCCATTATAAATTGTAACTAATCTATCACATTATAAGCTTTGGATTAACGAAAATGCAGCTTTTAATTGAAAAGTCTGTATGTGCTCTAGGCTGAGCAAAAGCAGTACCCCAGGGGCAGGTAGATTTTATAAATATGTTTCTCATATTCTCATGGTATCACCTCCTAGGTGCCCACCCTCCTCCTCAAACCACATCTACCTTCTCATGGGGAGTTCTTGGAATGTTTGTTGGAACTTTTACAAAAGTCTTCGTTCTGCACAGTATTTTAATTCTAATTGGGAATGGGCTGAGACAGTATCAGAAGCATCCCTAAAAGACATCAGCAAAGTTAAGAATACATTTGTTAGTCTTCATTGTCTGAATAGAGAGTTGGCCAAATGTAAACTATTGTGCTTATGATTGAGAAGCAACATTTTGATTGGATAGTCAGGAGTTGGGGAATTACAGGTTGGTAATATCTCTGAAAATTATATCAGGAGTTTTAGATTGACATTTTGGGAATGGAATGGAATACACATATGTTAATACTATGCATACATATCACACACATACATGTATATATGGGCAAAAATATATATGGAAATACTTTGATCACAAATATATACAATATATGTTAATGTATATTTATATTTTCTACTTTCTCATCTAAAATTACATTCATTTATATATATATGAATGAATACGTATTCATTCATTCACACACACACACACACACATATATACTGAGTGTTCGATATCCACGGAATTCATGTCTACAGATTTAACCAACCGTGGATTAAAAACATTTAGGTTTTTTAAAAAGATACAACAATAAAAATAGCACAAATAAAAAATACAGTATAACAACTATTTACATAGCATCTACTTTGTATTAGGTATTAAAAGTAATCTAGAGATGGTCAAAGTATATGACAGGTGGGCCTACATGTATTTTACTAAATATGAGTTTTATGGCTACAATTTGTGCCTCTGTTCTTTGCACCTACAAGGGTACCTGCTTCAAAAATTATTTCTTAAATAAGTTAAAGGAGAGGATAATTATTATAGCTGATGATACATTGAATTCTTGAAATGTGCTAATACAAAAATACTATGCTTTTTTAAAATTTACATCGATAAATAATAGTTGTACAAATTTATGGGGTCCATGCGATTTTTGTTACGAGCATACAGTGTTTAATAATCAAATCAGAGTAATTAGGATATCCGTCATCTCAAACATTTGTCATTTCTTTGTATTGGGAACATTCCAAATCTTCTAGCAATTTTAAAATATACAATAAATTATTGTTAACTACAGTCAACTTATTGTTCTGTTGAACTCTAGAATTTATTTATTCTATCTAACTGTATTTTTGTACCCATCTACCAACCCTTTTATCTATCCCCTTCTCACTACCCTTCCTAGCCTCTGGTAACCACCTTCATTAGCTCAAATATTTTAGCTCCTGCGTGTAAATGAGAACATGCAGTATTTGTCCTTTTGTGTCTGGCTTATTTCACCTAACTGTATGTCCTCTCATTCCATCCATGTTGCTGCAAATGATAGGATTTCACTCTTTTTAGGCAGAATAATATTTCATTTTGTATATACACCACATTTTCCTTATCCATTCATTCACTGAGGGACACTAGGGTTGATTGTATATCTTGGCAATTGTGGATAGTGCTGCAATAAACATAAAAGTGTAGCTATCTCTTCTATCTACTGATTTTTTTTCTATCAGATATATAACAAGCAATGGGATTGTAGAATAGTTCTATTTTCCACAATGGGGTGGTGTAATAGTTCTATTTTCAGTTTTTTTTAGGAACCTCCATACTGTTCTCCATAAGGGCTGTACTAATTTATATTCCCACCAACAAAGTACAAGCAATCCCCTTTCTTCATATCCTCTCTGGGACTTTGTATAAGGGACTTGAGCATCCACAGATTTTGGTGTCTACATATTGTATTTGAATCAATCCCCTCAGTCTCCTGTGGATACTAAAGGGTAACCATGTGTATATAGATATACATAATATCTAGATATACTGAATATAAATATAAATATAATTAAAATATATATGTAAGAAAAGGTAAAATATACAAACACTGGAATGATATCTTTGTTATTTACTTCTTCATTTCATTCAAGTTTATCTTTCATGAAGAGATCTTTTATGAGACTTTACAGCGTTTCTTCCTTGATAACTTCATGAGAAATATCAAGCCTCACTTTATTTCTCCTCCATCTGTATTACTTTATTAATATAAATGATTATGCTACATATTTATGCTCTCATTGTTTATTCATTCATCAGTTTTATGGCTTCAGTTTTTGCCTTTCTTCTTAGCACCTACAAGAGTACTTGGCTCAAAAATGATTTCTTAGATAAAGGAGATGTTGATTACGGTTTTTTTTATTATATTCTTTAAAAATGCTAAGAGAGTGGATATAAAGTGCTTTCACCACAAAAATAACTAAATAAGTTAATGCATATGGCAAGTAGCTATTTTTAATCATTCAACAATGTATATATAATTCATGACATCATGTTGTACACAATAAATATATACAATTTTATCTGTCAATTTAAAACAATAGTAAAAAGAACACGATGGATAGTCATTAATGTTGTTCTGGCTCTGCCACCAATTAGGCTTGAGCTCTTTGGCATGCTTAATCATTTTACCAATGTTTCATCTCCTGAAAAATGGTGATAAGAAAAGTATCTCCAGAGAAAAATAATTTATGCATAGCGACTTACTGTATTTAAAAAGAACTTATATGAATGCTTAATATTTACCTACAGATTCTACAAAAGCTTTTTATTCCCAGTCACTTTAGTCATTGTATGCCAGTGCTAATTAGCATGTTTGCCTCAAGATGATGAACATTTACTTAAGGATAAATCTTCAAGTTATCAGTAATGTGTTACACACGTTATATGTTTAGAGATATTGAAAGACTTTAAAATAACTATAATCCAGAATTCTCTTTATTCTACCAACTTATTTCAATTCAAATATTACTTTAGCAGAGTTGATTTATTTACTATTTTTCTCTGCTTTGAATATCTGTATTTAAACTGCATGGGACATCAAGCTGTGCTTTCAATTAACTCAAAAAAATCTTCCACTTGCAACAGCAAGGAGTCCCATCACAGAGGGTAATATCCACAATCTGTTTTTCATCTTATAATTACACAAGAAATCTTCTAACAATAGAATGTTCACAAGAGACACAATCTAGTATAATCACACATAGATGCAGATCAGTTGAAATGTCTCACTTTTTGTTGTCTTCATTTTTTAAAAGATCTAACTTCTAGAAGATTTGACTCAGAGGCAAATAAGGATTTAAGAAACATATGTATTGGTTCTTTATCTTGTTGTGTTGTACCTTTGATTTTGCCTGCCTTAAAAGATGATAATTTTCTATTCTTTTAAATGTTGTTCTTCGTATAACGTTGTAGTTACATGTGCTGGCTCTTGGAGCCTGGCTTTGCATTCTATGTTGATTTACTATCATCTACTGTATGTCATTGGGCAATTTACTTGATATTTATGGGCCATAATTTCACTATCTGTCAAATGGAATAATAATAGTAACACTTAATTAAATTATTATGAATTTTTTTAAATAATTGACTTTTACCAGGTAAAACATTCCTGAAAAAGTATATATTAGCTGTGAATATTTTCGTTTCTTTTTTTTTTGAGACGGAGTCTTGCTCTGTCGCCCAGCTGGAGTGCAGCAGCGCGATCTCCGCTCACTGCAAGCTCCACCTCCCGGGTTCACACCATTCTCCTGCCTCAGCCTCCCGAGTAGCTGGGACTACAGGCGCCTGCCACCGCACCCGGCTAATTTTTTGTATTTTTAGTAGAGATGGGGTTTCACCTTGTTAGCCAGGATGGTCTCGATCTCCTGACCTCGTGATCCATCCGCCTCGGCCTCGCCTCCCAAAGTGCTGGGATTACAGGCTTGAGCCACTGCGCCTGGCCAGCTGTGAATATTTTCTTACGTGTTCTCTGTATTCACGTACATGAAGTTTCAACTGCTTTTTGAGTTTGGAAACACAAATGCAGATTTGACTTCATTTGAAGTTTATTATTTAAGCCACTCTGTTATCATAGTGATGGAAATATAATCAATTCAGCCAAGAGTTCTTTGTAAATTAAAGCAAACTTCATAGTTTGGCAAGAAGTTCTTTCATCTTTGGTATATTACCTTCATCCACCCTTTTTGCATCGCCTTCTTTCTATGGTAACTTTAGCTGAAGCAAAGCCAAATGGGCTTAGTTTCCCCAAAGTACCATTTCCCGTCTTTCATGTTGTATCCGTTTAACATGAACTGCCAAACTTAAGTTTAGAAAACCCCGTCTTCAAACTCCTATAGCACTGTGATGTTCTATGATTAAGATATTGAATAAACACAAGACTTCTACAACTTTTTTTTTACTATTTCTCATATACCTATAGTAGCTACATCTACTTCACTTTTCATCTCTTTCAATAAACTATGGAAATAACAGTGATTTTTTTCACTTATGTATCTCCAGTTTTTAATATAGTAATGAATATATTATATTCTGTAGCTATTTTTAAAATAAATATGTGGTAGTTTGGAATTTTGGACAGTGGAGGTATTTTGGACAGTGGAGGTATTTTGACACGCTTTTTTTGGCTTTTGATTGGTGCTATATGGGCAAAATAAACTTTCAGTCTATGAAATTTTTTTCAGTATTCTATTCATGTATTTTCACATACAAATGGCTGTACATAATAAATATATACAACTTGATGTATTTGGCAAACAATACACATCTATTCCATGAAATTTCTTGACTCATGGTTTTAAAGTCTGTTTTATCCCTTGTAGTGTTATTAATAATTTGAAGGCACATATTTAAGAAGTGAATAAGTTGAATTTCTTAACATACACACAGAGCAAAAGTCAACAAGAAAGAGATGAAAATAAACAACTTAAACACCTCTGTTGGGGTTTAAAGTATTTGAAGAAAAGTGTAATTAGTAGTGTTTAGAATTTATATAAAGTTATTATCATCAATTTGAAAAAAATGGCCTAAACAAATAATTTGGAAAATAATTTTATCATTGTCTTTTCAGTTATATATATACTGCAGTTCGACAATTCTACTCTTAGATTTTCTACTGGAAGAAATTTTGCTGATAGGGTTTGGATCTCTGTCTTTGCCCAAATCTCATGTCAAATTGTAACTCCCAGTGTTGGAGGTGGGGCCTGATGAGAGGTGACTGAATTATCAGGTGGTTTTCGTGATTTAACACCATCCCCCTTGGTGCTGTTCTTGTGATAGTGAGTTATTATTAAATCTGGTCATTTGAAAGTGTGTGACACACCTTCCCACTTCCTTCTGCTCTGAGCGTGTGAAGTGCCTCACTCCCTCTTTGACTTCTGCTGTGATTGGAACCTTCCTGAGGCCTCCCCAGAAGAAGAAGCTGCTATGCTTTCGGTATAACCTGCAGAACTATGAGCCAATTAAGCTTCTTTCTTTATAAATTCCTGAGTCTCAGGTATTTCTTTATAGCAATATGAGGATGGACTAATACAGAAAATTGGTGCTGAGGAGTGTGGCATTGATATAAAGTTGCCAGAAAATGTGGAACCAGGTTTGGAACTGGGAAACAGGCAGAGGTTAGAAGAGTTTGGAGAGCTCAGCAGAAGGCAGAAAGATGAGGAAAAATTTGGGACTTTTTAGATATTTGTTAAATTGTTGTGAACGAAATGCAGGTAGTGATATGTACAAGAAAGTGAAGACTAAGGAGGTCTCTGACGAAAATGAGGAACTTACTGGGAACGGAAATACAGTTCACTTTTGTTATGCTTTAGAAAAGAACCTGGCTGCATTGTACCCCTACTCTAGGGATCTGTGGAAATTTGAACGTGAGAGTGATAGGGTGATAACTTAGGGTATCTGGTGCAAGTAATTTATAAGTGGCAAAGTGTTAAAGAATTAACCTGTCTGCTCTAACAACCTATGTTCATAGGCATGAACAAAGAAATGACCTGAAATTGGAACTTATATTTAAAAGAAAAGCACAGCATAAAAGTTTGGAAAATTTGCAGCTGGGTCATGTGGTAGAAAATAAAAATCTATTATCAGGGCAGCAAATCAAGCAGGCTACAGAAATTTGCATTACTAAAAGGAAGGCAAGTTCTGATAGCCAAGATAATGGGGAAAAGGCCTTGAAGGCATTTCAGAGATCTTCATGGTGGCCCCTCCCATCACAGAACTGGAGGCCTAGGAGGAAAGAATGGTTTCTTGGGCCAGGGCCAGGGCCCTGCTGCCCTGTGCATCCTCAGGACATGCACGGCTTTTTGCATCCTGGCTGCTCCAGCTGTGGTTCAAAGGGGCCCAGGTATAGCTGAGGCCACTGCTTTCAGAGGGTGCAAGCTGTAAGCCTTCGTGGCTTCCATGTGGTATTAAGACTTCCAGTACACAGAGTGCAAGAGTTGAGGCTTGGGAGCCTCTAGCTAGATTTCAGAGGCTATATGGAAAAGCCTTGATGTCCAGGCAGAAGCCTGCTTCAGGGGCAGAACTCCTATTAGGACAGTGTGGAGGGGAAATGTGGGGTTGGAGCCCACACACAGATTCCTCTTGGGGCACTGCCTAGTGGAGCTTTGAGAAGAGGGCCACCATCCTTTAGACCCTGGAATGGTAGATCTACAAGCAGCTTGCACCACACACATGGAAAAGCCATAAACACTCAACACTAACTCTTGAGAACAGCTGTGGGGCCTGAACCCTGCAAAGCCATAGGGGTGTAGCTGCCCAAGAGCTTGCAAATCCACCCCTTGCATCATTGTGCCCTGCATATCAGACATGGAGTCAAAGGAGATTCTTTTGAAGCTTTAAATTTTAATGACTTCCCTGCTGGGTTTTGGACTTGCATGGGGACTTTAGTCCTTTTCTTTTGGCTGATCTCTCCTGTTTGCAATGGGAGTATTTACCCAATGCCTACATCCCCATTGTATCTTGGAAGTAACTAACTTGTTTTTTTTTGTTTGTTTGTTTTTGTTTTGTTTTTTACAGGATCATAGGCAGAAGGAATTTGCCTTGTATCAGATGAGACTTTGGATTTTGGACTTTTCTGTTAATGCTGGAATGATTTAAGACTCTGTGGACTGTTGGGAAGGCATGATTTTATGTTGAAACATGAGACCAACATGAGATTTTGGAGGGGTTGGGGCAAAACAATATGGTTTGAATCTGTGTCTCTGCCTAAATATCATCTTCAATTGTCACACCTGGTGTTGGATGTGGGGCCTGGTGGGAGATGATTGGATCATGAGGTTGGTTGCTCATGGTTTAACACCATCTCCCTTGGTGACATTCTCATGATAGTGAGTTCTTGTAAGATCTGCTCATTTAAAAGTGCGTGTCACCTCCTTGCCCTGTTTCTCTTCCTCCTGCTCCTGCCATGTAAAGTGCCTTGTTCCCTCTTTGCCTTTGGCCATTCTTGGTAGCTTCCTGAGACCTCCCCAGAGACAGAAGCCACTGTGCTTCCCGAACAGCCTGGAGAATCATAAGTCAACTAAGCCTTTTTATAAATTATCGAGTCTCAGGTATTTCTTTATAGGAGTGTGAGAATGTACTAATACACTTGCATTTGAAAATGAAGGTAACCATGAAAACATATATAGCAGTGTTCTTTACAGTAATAAAATCTGAAAATAGCACCAATTTACATTAGTGGGAGAATGCAAAATAAAGTACATTAAAATCGCACAATAGAATTTTATATAGTAGTCAAAATCAATGAAATTAAACTTTCAGAGAAAGTAGATAAAATTGCAGTAATATAATGTTTATTTTAAAAACATATCAACATGTAAATTACTGTAAATCTCAAAACCAAGCGAAACGAATCAACTTGTCATTTAAGGATATATGTAGATAAATCAGGGACAATTGTTTTAAGGAATAAAAAATGAATCAATAACATAACATTTAGGGAAATGTGTAACTTCAAGGTAAGCAAGTGGATGTTGTGTCAAACCTAGAGAGCTGTGCACCAGAATCTGTTGTTCTCTTTTTCAAGGTCATAAGACTAGACAACCTGGCAGAGATGACTTATGAGTGGATATGAGACCAACTGCTATTCAGGAGAATGTAAATGAAAGTGATATGTGAAATTTAAAATATATACTGAAGATAGTATGAAAGATTTCACATTTTTTCTTCATTCCACATTGCAATCTTGAATTATAACAACTTCAACCATGGAAATAAGAGTCAAAGCTGTGAATAGGAGGACATTATAGAAGAATCAGAGTCTACAAAGACCACTAGTTCACTGATTTACGAGGCTCACCTTGAACTATTACTAGGGATTTAAAAAATTATCTTTTTTCAACCACTAAAATAGTTATTGTTTTGTCTTTTTTATGGCAGTCTAATCTTGTCATAGCTAATATAGATGGGATAGCAAACAGTTAGTTGTAACAGATTTGGTAATTTGTAATACTCATTTGGCTTGGTTGGTAAATAAGTATTAATTATGTTTGTAACTTTAAGTTATTAATTTATTAATTGCATATATTTCTTTACATGTGACACACATTATATCAAATTCATATCTTGAATTTCCAAGATATCCAACTTTGGAAGCAATGTGTTGAATTCATCCATATAGACAACCATAATATAAACAACATAATTGTATTTCATTTTCATTGATTTCATACATATAAGAAAGCACTGTAGGAGGTTTACTCTATGTTGATACTCCAGTGGACAGAGGTTCTACCACATTAGAGCTTTTTAATTGAACCATACAACTCTCTTGGTTGCCTCAACAAGTAAGGAAAGGGCAGGAAGGAATGGGCAAGCCTCATTCCAAATAGCCATGGATATTGCTAATTCTTATTTTCAAGAGGATCTATTCTTGGACTCTCACGTATCCCACATAATTGTTGAATTTCCATTTTCAAAATAATATGGACACATATAGTTTATAAATTATGAAGTCCAAATATCTTTTGGAGTAAAAATTCAAAATAGCATTTTTTTCCTAGTACATGACCTTATTGTTTGATTTGCATAATATACTGATGTGATTATTTTGTTCATAAAATGGCACTCTTTGGTGAAATACTAAAATATTTTAGTTGCTGAGGGCTAATAAGAAAAGAACAAGTATGATGTTAATTTACAAATAAGATAATTACATCAAATGAAGGCTAAGTGCGGTAATAATTTTCTATACAGAAAAGAGAAATGTGTTATAAGTCAAAGAGAAAAATAACAGAAGAATATAATTATGAAATGTAACAGTAATGTAAACATGCCAAAAATATAATAGAAGCTAAATCGTGGTAGGTGATATGATATTTCTCACTAAAATGCCACGTAGTACTTTTTTGTATACCAATGTTTTTTAACAGCAATTCTCTCACATTGCAATAAAGATGCAATGAGGTTCATATTAAGTGCATTTTTATTATGTTTCAGTGTAACATTTTGGAGCAAATTATTACACTAAATGACCGAGAAAAGTAATAGACTTGTTGTTTGAAATTATATCATTATAAAATTAGGAAAAAAATGATGTGAATGAATATGAAAATGACTAAAATAAATTACTCCAAATAAAGCAAGACTAATCAAGCAAACAAAGACTATCACATATCTATTAATGTAGTTCATTTGTATTTATTTAGTTTTATAGTTTGCCATTGCTAATTTTTAAATGTTGTATTTTAAGAAAATCATAATACTAATAAATTTACACTGGGGTTTTATTTGTCATATTCACCTGGGCATGTTTTCCCATTATCCCCATAATACTATGCAGCGTTGGGAAACCGATGCTAGCATGAAGCTCAAGATGTCTGTATTGCCCTGAAAAATTGCCTGTCTAAATCCATTTGGGCTCACTGTCTCTTTACCAGCAAAATCTATGGAAGTATGACATGCCAGCCTAGCAGCTGTCACTGCACTGCTGCTTAGAACTGCTTAACTGTTTGATCGGGACTAGTAGCTACTTTTAATATGACTAATAATGCATTTGACATTTACTTTTAATGAATATTAAAATATATCTTATACATAAAGTATTAATGTTATAAATGCCATTTTCATTTTGATATTTCAAAATTTATGTAATATTTATGACTAAACAAATAAAATTTAAAATACTGATGTATGCTTTGTTCCTGAATTGATTTTTAAAATACAAGGACTCCAGATACTCTCACTAAATGCCTAAGAACTTGTTTTTAAACAAATCTAAATTCAAATGATATCTAAAATAACATTAGCTTAAATAAAAATGTACTTGTTTTATTAATGTTTTCCTTAAGAGTTTTTTTATTAAGCTTCTGATCATTTCAGTAATATTGATCTTTGATATAAATAGTTTAAGCACTTTTCCTCACTAATTTAGCTCCGCTCACTATGTAATACTTTTTCTCACTGCTTTAGCTCTGCCTATTATGTAACACTTTCCCCCAAACAGAAAATTGTACATGTCCAATTTCACAATTAAGCTTAATTTTTCTACCAATCTTTTAGGTTTTAAATAGCTTACTATTCTCTTAACAAAGGAATTTTTCTTATTTTAAGCCTGAATAGTCTTGTTATGTGGATAGAATATATTACATTATAATTTACATTATGTATTACATTATTACAGTACATGATTATAAATTAATATTAATGATTGTATCTACCTTTTTAATCTAGAGGCAGTGTTTGGTGCGCTAGTTAGGCAAATAGATTCCAGAGCCAGAGTTCAAATCTAAATCTGGCACTTAATTTTCATGTGAATTTTCAATTTTCTTAATATCTTTTCATTTTCTAACAATATAAACAGGAAAGATAACTAACCTAATAAGAAGTTTTTAGAGGTGATTAAATGAGTTAACATTTGTAAAACAAGTGGAAATACTTTCTGGCATGTAGCAAAAACTAGGTAGAAGTACTACATTCTATATGTGCTTCGGAAATCTATAATATTAAGTATTTTTTATATTTAATATTATTAATATTAACATGAATGAGTATCATTCATTTGAAACTTTTTTTAATGCATACTGCTCATAATGTTTTCAGTAGAGTTCATTTAAATAGTTAATATGAATGCCATTTATGCTGCTGATGTTGAGTGGTGGTACATGAAGTACTTCTACTTGCAAGTCAAGATATACTCTGTCTAATGGCGTAATTAACTGTTAATATAATGAATTAGTCTCTTTCCTTGGGAGCTTGAGTAGAAAAAGGGCAAGGAGGAAGATTAAGTCTTACTAGGTTTTCTAATACTGTACTATGTTCACTTTTTTTTCCAGTTGTCCTTAGACCTGTTGAGATTAACTCAAAAGATATAGATCTTGATTAACTACTTTACCCTCTAAGTATATTCTTAAGGTCATTATATACTGGTTTATACCACAGAAGATATAGTATGTAAACATGTACAAATTTAGTAAATCAGTCTGTAATGTCCCATAATGTACACCTAAATATGTTGAAATTGTGCTACATTATACTCACAAGGAGGGATTCCATGTGTTCTCACTACATGAAACCAGAGGAAGGAGAGGAAGTCTGTACCCCTATTGGGCATGTTTAACTATTTATTCCTCATGGAAAGTCAAATTATTTTTTTGAAAAAAAAGTGACAGATATAGATGCTTCCCTTAGAGGTTGTGCCATAATATGTTTAGACTGCTAGTGACTCCACCTTGATTAAAACCTAATATAGAGGAAGAGCCAAGATGTCTGAATAGATGCAACCAGAAAGCTTCTCTTCAAACCTACGCTACGCAATAAGGTTACACTAACAACTATACAACTATACAACAAGGCTACACTGACCAAAGCAGTATGGTCCTGTTACAAAAACAGATACATAGACAAATGGATCAGAACAGAGAACACAGTAACAGGACCACACATCTACAACAATCTGATTTTCATCGAAGTCAACAATAACAAGCAACAGTGAAAGGATACCCTATTCAGTAAATGGTGCTGTGATGACTGGATAGCCATATGCAGAAGATTGAAAGTAGACCTCTTCCTTTCACCCTATACAAAAGTCAATCCAAAATTGATTAAATACTTAAATGTAAGATCTAAAACTATAAGAACTCTAGACGAAAACAGAAAATACCATTCTGGACATAGGCCTTAGCAAAAATTTTATGATGAAGTCTCTAAAAGCAATTACAATAAAGACAAAAATAGACAAGTGAGACCTAATGAAACTAAAGGGCTTCTTTCCAGCAAAGGAAACGGTCAACAGAGTAAACAGACAACCCACAGAATGGGAGAAGATATTTGCAAACTATGCATCTGACAGAGGTCTAAAATCCAAAGTATAATGAGGTTAAACGAATCTACAAGCAAAAAATAAAATAAATAAAAATAAAATAACCCCACTAAACAATGGGCAAAGGACATAAACAGACACTTTTCAAACAAGCAAATACACATGACCAACAAGCATATGAGAAAAAGCTCAAAATCACTAATCATCAGAGAAATGCAAATCAAAGCCACCATGAGATATCAGCTCGTACCAGTCAGAATGGCTAATTTAAAGTCAAAAAAATAGTACATATTGTCAAGGATGTGAAGAAAAAGGAACACTTACACACTGTTTTGTATAAGTGGTAAGTGGGAGTGTAAGTTAGTTCAACCGCTGTGCAAGACAGTGTGGCGATTCCTCAGAGACCTAAAGGCAGAAATATCATTTGACTCAGCAATCTCAATACTAGGTATATACCCAAAGCAATACAAATCATTCTACCAAAAAGCACATGCACCCTTATGTTCACAGTACTATTATTCACAAAAGTGAAAACATGAAATCAACCTAGGTGCCCATGAATGGTGGACTGGATAAGGAAAATATGGGACTTATACACCATGGAATACTACGTAGCCATAAAAAGAATAAAACCATGTCATTTGCAAGAACATGGAAGCAGCTGGAGGCCATTATCCTAAGCAAATTCTCCAAGGAACAGAAAACCAAACATCGCATGTTCTCGTTTGTAAGTGGGAGTTAAATATTGAGTGCACACGGACACAAAGATAAAAATAGTTTATATCAGGGCCTACTTGAGGGGGGAGTGTGGGATGAAGATGAGAGTCATAAAACTACCTATCGGATAGTATGCTCACTACCTGGGTGATGAAACCGTCTGAACACCAAACCTGAGTGACACACAAGTTACGTATGTAACAAACCTGCACATGTACCCCCAAACCTAAAAACAGAAGTTGAAAAAATGAATCAATCAAGTTAAGGTGTAGAAATCATATCTTTCAATTATCATATCTGAGACACAACATTGTGGCATCTGTCTATATTTATCAATCTAAGTATTAAAATATATCTTTCTATATATATTTATCTAAATTTATCTGTCATAACTTTATCTAACCATACGTGAATCCATTCATCCATCCATCCATCCATCCATCCATCCATCCATCCATTCATCTATCCATCTGCCTTTCTATGTACTTACTTACACAGAAACAAGAGCAATGTTTTCCAAGAAACCCTTAAGCAATTTTTACTGCCCTGATTTTCATTTGTTTATAACACGAATAGGGTTGGCTAAAAGCATTCATGTATCCTCAGATGATTCCAAATTTATCCTCAGTAGATCTAGTTTTCTGACTATATGCTTATGGAGATTTTGTTTATATATTTGTGATAGGAAAAACAAAACAAAAATTTCATTCAAAGAGAATCATAAGTTTCTGAAAAATAGTCTTCAACATTATACTATTTTCAATGGCTTATTAAAAATTTCATCTATTTTAGAAACTCAAATATTTTAATCTTTCATTGTTTTACAATATATATGTGTTGAATTTATAAATATCCTTCACTCTTAGTTTATGTAAAGTTTGTAACCTAAAATGTTATTTTCTTTCAATAACAGTTTACCTCAGAGTTAGTGGCTAAATCAGAATTCATATGAAAAATGTCAATCTTTTTTTGGAAGTAGCAAAACCAATACCCTTTCATATCTTTCTACAATTAAGATGTGTCACTTTAGTGACAATAAATAAGATTTCCTATTTCTTAATGTACTTTAACATATCAGTTATCAGAACTGTGTTTATCTGACACAATGCATCCAATCCAGTACTTCCAGGCAAACTGGTTTACTTAGATGCAGCAGTCTATAAGCCTAGATGACTGTATAAAATCTTGATAGAATTGTTGTATTTTATATTGCAGAAAGCAATCAGGTGATTTTGTTTGTCTGACTATTATATGTACTAATATAAAATGTTAATCCTGAGGAATGATTGGTAATGTTCCTTTATGAAATGTTTCTAATTTTCAAGATCTATCCAATCATTAAAAAATTCAAATATATAGAATGAAAATCTTAGGAAAATTTAAGGGACAATGATTCCTAAAATATGTGTCTTTTTTCTTTACTGATTGGGAAATAGTATTTGAAATAATAAGCTTGTCTTTAAAATGTATGTACAAAGTGGCTTTATAAGACCATTAAGTCTTCTATTTTATACTTAAAGCACATTTTATTGAGCAAACAAAACCGAGGACTATACAGGTAATTCTTTCACTCTTCCAATATGTAGGAAGATACCCGAAATTATTACATGATTTTATGTATGTATCACAGATTTGGGGATGCATTGCTACTCTTGTATAGAACATACTTTAATACTTCCTTATGCAGTGAAATGAAAATTTCAAAACACTAAATATAACAGCGATTGTTGCAAAGGATATATGAAATGCTTACCTTTTAGACTATAGAATACATGAGCAATATAGATAAATCTACATTACTTATAGGTCTCCGATTGAAGGTGGATGCTTTAATTGCTTGAACTGTCCTATGTCCAAGATCTGAGCAGCTCATTGAGATTGGGGTAAATTAAGGGAATGGGTAACAGGGTGGATTTATCTGCGTTCTTTGGCAGAGATACTCTGTTAAAGTAATATACTTTACTACTTATTAATTTACTGACTACAATTGTCACACCATGATAAAATATAATTAACACCTGGAACCACTGTGAAATTCTAATTTATTTTTTCTTTGATATATGAGAACATATTTCTTCTTATTCCATTTAGAGAGGTACACATGTCAATAATGCATAAAAATGGTTCAAACTAGGATGGTCATTTGTACAGTCATTAAAACTGACTTGAAGGCCGGGCGCGGTGGCTTACGCCTGTAATCCTAGCACTTTGGGAGGCTGAGGCGGGCAGATTGCCTGAGCTCAAGAGTTCGAGACCAGCCTGGGCAACATGGTGAATCCCCGTCTCTACTAAAATACAAAAAAAAAAAAAAAAAAAAAAAAATTAGCCTGGCGTGGCGGCGTGTGCCTGTAGTCCCTGCTAATCAGGAGGCTGAGCCAGGAGAATTGCTTGAATCCGGGAGGCAGAGGTTGCAGTGAGCCAAGATGGTGCCACTATACTCCAGCCTGGCGACAGAGTGAGACTCCGTCTCAAAAAACAAACAAACAAACAAAAAACTGACTTGAAGACAGTCAGCTGAGGCACTGACTTCAAAAATGTTGCAAGTAGCAACTAATGAAACTCAATAAAGGACATTTTGACCTTTTGTTTCAAACCTTCAAATGCATGAAGTCATCAGTGTTATGGCTCTATAAAACATAGAAAACTGTTTCTGTGTGCGAGCTATAAAATACTATGTGGTCATTATAAGTTTGGCTTAAAGTTACCAATGAACAAAGTAGGCAAAGTTAAGACAATATTCACTTGCATAATATTCTTGATAGATAAATACATTATTTTTATTACTGAACTTCTAAAATAAAATGTGGCTAGTTAAGTATATTTTATTTTAAATCAATTAGGTCATGCGTTTGTAATAAAGTTTGAATCTTAAAACAAATTTTGTCCTATCTCCTGAGACCCTTCAGCCTCCTGGTTGAATTGCACTCTTTTTGCTGTATAGTTCTATGGACTATGAAAAATACATAGTGTCACATATTCACTACCCACAGTAATGCACAGATTTGTCCTATGACCATAAAATATTCTCTATTATCTCCCTATTCAAACACTCCATACTTCCCATACCTTTGGCAAACTAATCTGCTTTCTTTACCTACAATTTTACTTTTTTCCAAAATGACATGTGAATGGAATTGCATATTATATATTTTTTACCCTTTTCAATTTGTCTCTTTTCACATAGCATAATGTATTTTGGATTTATCTGTATGTCTTTCCTTTTTCATCAGTGACTAATTTTTCATTGTGTAGATGTACCACAATTCTTTAGCCATCCACATTTTGAAGGATATCTTGGTTTATTCCAGTTTGGGGGCAACTATAAATAAAGCTACTGTAAACATTTGTATATTTAGAATTTCTTGCAAAGTATAGCAATGAAAGAACATTCCTGTAGCTTAGTAACAGCATTTGGTATTGCCAATCATTTAAATTGTAGCCATTTAAATAAGTCTTTTAATCTGCTTTGCATTAGTGACAAGACATTTAGCATCCTTTCATACACTTATTTGCCATCCATATTATGTCTTCTTTAATGTCTGTTTACTCAAGTATTCTTAAGAAAACTTTTGTTTATATTTTCTGTAAGTATTACATTTCCACTTAAAACGCTATCCACTATTTTTAAACAATGATTTCTTAATTGACAATATTCCTAGGGCAAAGTTCACAGAGGGGAGCATGTCCTAAAGCAGATGTTTATCTCATTAAATAACTAATACCAATATTTCTGTTGGAAAATATTTGGCAAAACTATGAGCATTTTGTTTTGACAACTACACTGTGATTGTTACCAAATAAAGGATTTGTTAAGACAAACATGTTTAATTTGGAAAAAGGAGCCAACTTACAAAAAAAATGTTGTTACACTGATTACTTGAAATTAAACCATATGTTGTTATGTATATTTTAATATCTATATGTTACTGAGAGCTTATAATGATTTTTATTTTAGGGATCAAAGCTATACTTTTTAGAAAATATTACATAGTAAATATAAAGTATCTTATTATTAACTAGAGTTTCCATGCTGTATATTAGATCTCCACAACTTACCCTGTATCGCTGAACCTTTATACCCTTTGATCAAGATCTCCCCATTTCCCTTTTCCCTGGCCCCTGGCAACCACTTTTCTACTCTACTTTTACGAGTTCAGCGTTTTCAGATTTCACATATACATGAGATTATAAATAATTATTTTTAGTTGTCAAGTATCCTTCAATAAAGCTGGAAAAAAAAAACAGGGCACAGTAAAATAAAAATTAAACTATTACGTTACCTTTAATATAGAGAATAAATTATTCTCTGAATGGAATCTCTTTACTAAATTATTTTATCTTGTGAATTGAAAATGGTTTGTTATAGTATTTTATATAGTATTGCATAGTACTGACAAAATTATTATATACAGTATATATTACCTTATGGCCACGTCTCATTTAATCAAGTATTAATATGTAATATTCATAAGCTCTTTAAAATTTCCCATATATGTGGCATTTTGTGGTTTACATTTTTACAAAACTTTTAGATTTAAATATTGTTTTTTGACAAACCTACATGATTTAAGAATTTTAGCTCACATAATAACTGTTACAAAACTTTTTATTATATGAGTGAATAATTCTATTTCCAACAAAACACTAAATGTATTTACTCTCTATAAATAGTAATGTTTAATTTATTCACTATAAATACATTCTTCTTTACATTTAATATTTGAAAACTGATAAGATATATTTTAAAAGTGGTGTCCAAAGGTATAGTTTGTAATTAAAACAAGATGGCTTCTCTAGATAAGTGATAATATTCCATGTATCTAATTACCTCAAAATTAGCAGTTAAAACAAACAAACAAACAAAAAACTTCCTTATCATCTCACAGTTTCTATAGGTTAGAAGTCTGGCCACAGTGTTGCACAGCTGCTTCATTTGCTACAGGTTTCACAGGAATGAAATTACGGCGTCAGTAGGGTTGAATTCCTTTCTTTTCGATAGGCTCTGAGGAAGAACCTACTTTCAAACTCAACCAGGTTATTGGTAGAATTGTGTTTTTAAGGTGGAGGTTCTTGTTTCCCAACTGGATGTCAGCCAAGGATTGCCAACCTTGCCGCCTACAGGCCCCTCTGTGGCCCCCTTATATCTGCAACAGTGTGTCAAAATTCTCTAGCTTTTGGAACCTTCCCTACTTCCTCTTCTGCTGCATCTCTTCTGCCCTCTCCACTGCATCTCTTTAACTCCATTTGGTATTTATCAACCTTGAATTTTTAGAAAAATTTAGCAAAATTATGTTGTTGGGAATTCCAAATTTTAAAAATATTTAAACTATTCTAAATTACAAATTTGTTCATTAGAAGGTCCTGGAGTTTGTGATTGAGATCAGGACCTATTTTATACAATTCCAGAGTATAGATTTCGTGATTTCCAGCAAAATAATCTTGCTACACTAATAAATGCTTTTGAGGTTGAAATTTTAAGAACAACAAAATATGCAAGCACCTAGAAATAAATACCCAGTTGGCATATACACCAAAACTGTTTCAAACAAAATTAAATATAAAGTAGGATAAAAAAATCTGCTAAAGAAAAAGCATTAGGGTTTTTGTTATGGCTTGAAAAATATTAAGTATTGATGTATCAGGCTTCAAATCTATACATGATTGCTACAGTTATTCTATTATGTTTAATCAAATAGTAATTTGTTTCATGAAATAAAACACATCATATTTAAATTACAAATTCCCTAATATACATCCAGTGTATGTATGATACTGCCCAGGTGTCACTTCACTGTAATTGACCTTGAACACATCAATACTATACCAGCTATTCTAATAAATGAGCACAAACACTCCTGTACTCTACTTTGGGCAAAAGTAAAGAAAAACAATTATTGTAGTTCCTTTCTTTTAATAGTCATTCAAACAAATATTTGTTTAATTACTTTAGAAACATGCCTCCCCAAATAAGGAATATATTAAATTAAAAGAAAAACTCAAAGCTGACTTCAGAAGTCATTATGTTTGTTCTTATGCATATGTTTGAATAGTCTGAAAAAATACTTGGCATATAAAGTTGGGAACAGGATAAATTCTGTGTGTGTGTGTGTGTGTGTGTGTGTGTGTGTGTGTATATATATGTCTTTATATATATATATATATATATATATATATATATATATATATATATGAGAATGAAAGCTTCTTTGTTGTTATTGGCAAATTGGCAAATGACTGGCTGGTGATTGCATAATATAAGGTTAATGTATATTTCACATGGATTAAAAATGTGAAATGCCAATGGAAGATTATACTATTCTCCTATATCTTATTTAGTATTCTCTTTATTTATGTGCTCATCAAGTAAAATTGCTGATGATAAAATAGCTTCAAAGTTAATACATACACGTATTTTCAGTGGATTTCATTTTTGTGTTGATTTACTGAATTCTTTTCGTTATATTCTCCATAAAAGTGCTAGTGTTGTCTTTAATCAGAGCTACAACCACAAATTCTGTTTGATGAACAAGGAAATGAATCAACTTTAAAAGGAAAATTTTCACCAGCAATGCAATCTTTTCTCTTTTTTGTTACCTGATTTCTACTTTGCAGTCCCTCCAATACAACTTCTCAGATATCTTTGAGAATGCAAAATAATTATTATCTATGCTGTGCTATGACTTCTATATTTAAAAGTTTATATTTTAAACTTACTAAAAGATAAGAATAACATCACTAAATAAAATTTTACTAACACATATACATACACATATATTGGAAAAAAATAACATTTTAGAGAAAACACTAACAGTAAAGTATAAAGAAAATTTTTAAAATGTGTCCATGTACTATCATAATGATTTTTTTCTTAGAATAAGCTGAGTGTGTTTTTTTGAATTTTAAAATTTCTTAGTCATTGCTTCAAAAATGAATATAGATTCATAGATGTTCAAACTACTGTCAAATACAGTAATCCACTCTGTATCTCTGGACTAGCATTTTGCGATTTCAGTTACCAGTGGTCAATTGTGGTCTGAAAATATTATATGAAAAATTCCAGAAACAAACAAATCTTAAGCTTTAAATTGCACGTTGTTCTGAGTAGTGTGACAAAATCTTGGATTGTCCTGTGAGGTCCCACTTCCCATGTGCATCATCACTATGCTTAGTGTCTCTGTGCTGGAGACACTACATTCCAGTCAGTCACTTAGTAGTCGGCTTTATCAGGTCGACTGTCATGGTAGTGCAGTTCTTGTGATCAAGTAATTCTCATCTGACTTAGTGATGGTGCCAAAGCGCAGCAGTAGTGATGCTGCATAGTGTTATAATCATTCTATTTTATTGTTAGTTATTGTTGTTAATCTCTTATTGTGCCTAATGTATACATTAAACTTTATCCTAGGTATGTATGTATAGGAAAATCCATAGCACACACAGTTTGGTACTGTCTGTGGTTGCAAGCATCCAGTAGGTGTCTTGGAACGTATCTCCCATAGATAAGGGGAGGCTACTCTATATAACAACAAAAAAAAAAAAGGAGAGAGAAACTTTTATATCTCATATTCATTTTTGCTAACTCTTTCAATAATTTTGAATTGTTGTGAATTCTAAATAACCAGAGAATATTATTAATATATTAGGTTGGTGCAAAAGTAATTGCGGGTTTTGAAATAACTATCAATGGCAAAACCCACAATTACTTTTGCACCAATCTAATACCAAGATTTCTATAGCAAATTTATCTAATAACAAAATTAATCATAAAAATTAACAATCTCCATTAATACTTCAGTTATATTGAATAATCATAAATAAAACTATGAGTAAGCAATTTGTAATGGAACCAGGTAAGAAATGTTCATTATCCTTCTGATTTTAATTAAAACAAAAAATAATTTTAGCCTTAGGGGTCATGGCTATAGTGATAACAGATAAAGGCTCCTAAAATACATCCTCACTTCCATATGAAATTAAAAATATACCTTCTGTGTTCCCATAACCTATGGTATACACTTGCAGTCTAAGGTCCTATCCCATTTTCTATGTTTAATATTTTATCATCAGTTTTTTCCACTAGACTCGGATCTCCTTGAGACAGTCTCCCACATTTTTTAAAGCCAATTTAATAGCTCAGCATCAAGTCATTATTTGACAAGTATTAACAATTGGATGGATAAACTAATTTTTGTCTTTTTAGCATAAGCTTTATCGGAAGTAAGCAGCATTATAATCTCAGAAGAGCCGCTGGATTCTTTTGTTGAAAGCATTGACTAAGTACATTAACCTTTGAGTCATATAGGCTTGTGTTTGCAGCCCAGTTCACTCACTTGATAACTGTACAGAATTTCACTCATGATTTATATGGCCGTAAAACTAATGTGTGTTTTAGAGAATCAACGTCCCTCATTTTGCATTTTGCCTAGACAAAACAGGCACATTTTTATTTCCATTTCTTCTCATAAGGACTTGATTTTTTCATTTACTAACTATTCATTAACTTCTTTCTCACTGCTTACCAATATATCATCACACACACAAAGAAAACATAAAAGATATGTTTCTAATTTTTAAAAGTTTATAATATTATTGAGGAGACCAAATATGCCAACACAGAAGTGAGAAGCAGAGAGAGACAGAGAGAGAGAGAGAGAGAAAGAGAGAGAGAGAGAGAGATGGGAGATGGCAGGGGGATTGATTTAAAAGTTTCCATACCACTTCTAAAATATTTGAGAGATCATCAGTCTGTATATATGATCTAAGGATGAGTGGTTAGTGAATGTTCCAAGGGAAAAATAGGAGTTACAAGGAATCTAGAGGAATGGGCTGAGTATGATAAATAATGTTTTATGTAAGGTTTTTTTGAAGCAACCATTAGCTGATTTTTTTAGTGATTTATTTTTAAAGATTTTTTAAAATTATTTTTATAGAAGTGTCAAGAGAAAAAGGACAGAAGGGACAAAGAAAAGACTTCCATCTTGGGTAAAAATCACAGTGTATACTCTCAGCCTCATCATACAGAAGAATGCTAGCAAGTAAGTTATAACCCAGGTTGGCCTGAGCTGAGGGAAGGGAAGAGGGTCTTTCAGGGTCTTTCACCCACAAGTCTTTAGGTAAAGCATAAAAGTGTTCGTGTATCAGAAAGGAAGAGGAGGTGACAAGAATTCCAAGAGATGTCTTGCTTTGCATATATAAGGAGGAAATGGGCTTCCCTTGTCTGAGGACCATTCTTTTACTCAAAAGAGAAACAGCTACTGTGTAGTTCAAGTATACTGAAACCAGTATGTTAAAAAAAAAAAAGGGAAAAACAGTGACCAGAAACACCTGCATGGAGTGCAGTCATTATCTACTGTGTGTGTCTGGTAGAAGGGGGATAATTTATAGAAAAAACAAAAATGATAACCCTGAAGGGGGAAAAAAAGACCCTTTCTAAAAGCATGACACCCATTGACCCATAGTTCTTTTCATCTAACTACACTTCGGGGGCAGAACTGAAATTTTGTTTACAATGATTTTGGAAAGTTACTCTTCAGCCTTTGCTTTAACATTTCCAGAAAGAACAAAACAGCATTTCTCAAGTCAGCCACCGTTAGAATGGATTGGACTCCTTTTAGTTTGTTCGAATTATTAGATCTTATTCATTCCCTCATTCACAAGTCTCAAAGGATTCCAATTACCAACGAGAATGCCCGCTCTTGGACTTTACTTTCCTCTCCAAAGGAGAATTTATTTAGTTATGCTTCTCTATATTCCCCTGAAGTCAAGCCACAAGCTATTACAATCTTACCAGCTTGCATTTTGTTATTGATCGGTTATTGTTTCAGTCAAATACTTCAGATACCACAGTGTACTTATTTTTTAAGTGTCTTTTGACCTATGCATTTAAAAAATAAACTAGACTATACCATGAACTTAGGTTATCTTTCCAATGCTCCCCACACTCCCAGGCAAGTAGAGACATTTTTCATCACATTTAGAGTTTACTACCATGAATCTAACAATGTGAAGAAAATGAAATAGAGTTTCTTATGTTTTTCAGTGCCTTTCTCCTGCCATGAGGATTTCATTTTAGGCATATGCAGGGGAGAGGTGAGGGAAAGGAAAGAGAATTTGGAAAACACTGGCTGTTCCAAGAAAAGAAATAGCATCTTTGGCTTATTTTCCTTTTTATATTTAGTTCATATAAAAATACAATTTCAAATGGTAAATAATAACAAGTTTCTTTTTATATATCCCGGTGAAAAATAGGCTTGAAAAAGGTTTAGATGCACTGACCTTGGAAAATAGTTAATATTTTATGGATTCTGAAATTTATATTGTACTCTCACTGAGATTGCTTTTACTTGACTTTTAACTCAGAAAAATATCTGAGTCTTGAAGTTATGTATACTTTTTTTTAACTATTACATTTCTGCATTTTAAATGCTTATTCACCTCTCAAGGAACACATGCAAGTTGTATGCAAATTTTACCTCCCCAAAGTTTATTAACCTTAGCCCTTGTCACAAATCTAAAGTCTGGGTTCTGAACTGTTTTAAGTTATGAGGTAAAGGGCTATCAATTTTGAAAACTCTGGTTCATTGTAATCTGTGGAAACAGAGGCACTTGCAACCAAGAGAGAAAATAGTCTCTTCAATGGAGCTCCTCAAAGTTTTCCCACAGAATAATGGACTTTTACTTATTTAATAACAAGTATATTTTATGAAAATGACCCATTTCCTGGTTTTCTCCCTGAAAGACTATAACTCCAAGATGGCAGAGCAGGGCTATAGTCACTCATAGATGTAATACGTAGTGTCTTTCATACATTAAATGGTCAACAATAGTTATGGAATAAATGAAGGGATTCATGGTGCTCCAGATAGTGATAAAAAAGTTTTCTTATATAGTTACTGTATAAGAGTTTCTTATACTATATAACAGTTTCTTATATAGTTACTGTTATATTTACTGTGGCCTCCTGCATCATTGTTATATCAATTAATTTTTCAATATCTGTACTTAATTGTATTTATTTTTGATATTGCCTTAAAATTGTTTCATCAATTGTACATTACAGTTGCTTAAAATATTCTAAATCCCCCCAGCCATTCCTAAACTCTACTTTAAATGGTGTCATGTGAATGGTTTTGTTTATATTCTGTTCTGTAATTACTACTAACTGCAACCTGGGACTCTTTTCCATGCAAAGACTATCCATATCTCTTTATTATTATATTCAAATTAATTTCTTAAAAGTAATTTGTAATGGCACATTATATATGACTTAATTACTATTTGACCTAGGAGCTCATGATTATAACTTGGAATTTTCTCGTCAAAAAAGAATCAGTTAATAATAGTCTATGTAGCTTCCTTGGTGCATTTTTGTTTGAGTATCTAACAAAATCATGAGTGTCAAAAGAACAACAGGAGGACAATTCTATACATTTTTTGTAAAGATGCTTATATAAAAAGAAGAAAGGAGGCAGTAAGTGTGCTAAGAGGTGGAAATATGCTCCAGAGGTGGTCCAAATCAGATTTAATTAACATACTGGCTCAAATGAAGAATAAAGCAGAATGCCTATAGTGAGCTGAAGTCCTTGTCTTTATTTTCTCCAGAAAACATATGCTCAGTTTACTAAATGCAGATATTTTGTTAGCTATTCTATTTCCTTGCCATTGTTGTCATGACATATTTCTGGCCCTATTTTATCTTTATTAAAAGAAGAGATTATGGGATCTTTATCTTTACAATCTCTAAGAGCTGAAAACTGTATGAGTATTACATTTATCTGAAATATTATCTATATGATTTTAGTTTCCATGAAGTGGTTATTTTTTTAACATTTTTTCAATTTTATAGACTTTAAAAAAGGCAAACTCCTTGAGGATTGAAACAGAGAGTGCTTTGTTCAGCACTCTTTCAGTCTTAGAATTTTCCACAGAAAAGATGTAAAGTACATATGCACTGAATGAATAAATCAGTCAATAAACTATTTGAAGACCTGATGAGATATACATGTTTGTGTGTAGAACTTGGATCCAATTGTGTGTATACAATTCTACCCAACTCAAATATATAAAGTTTTTATTTTTTGCAAGGAAGTTCTGGAGAAAAATAAAGAGCATCGGTGAATATATCACTCCTTAAACTACTAGAATTATTCTCTGATAGTGGATGTTTTTATATGTTGTTGAAGCCCTGATGTTTAATACAGTGCCCAGCTCAGAAAAATTGCCCAATAAATATTTATGAAATAAATAAATGAGGGAAGACCATGATATATTGCGTTTACTTTAGATTTCATGAATAAAATCAGCATCCATCCAGTAGGAAACAAGATTCTAAAGTGAGGATTTTGTGCCTTCAGCAATTAGTAAAATTACATTTTTCTTTTACATTTCCCTTTAGTGTTCAGTTATAAGCTGTGTTACTTAAGGCTGTTATAATACTTGGCTGTTTAAAGACAACAATTTTTTTTTTTCAATTCTGGAGGCTAGAAGTCCCAGATTAGGGCACAGCATATTTGACTTTGGCGAAGGGCTGTCTTCCAGATTGCAGACTACTGACTTCCAAATTCTCACGGGGCATGAAGAGCATGAGAGAGCTCTCTGGGATCTATTTTATAAAAGCACTACTCCCATTCATAAGGGCTTCATCCTCATGATCTGATTACTTCCCAGTGGCCCGGCCTCCAAGTCTCCTTACATTGGTTATTAGCATTTCAACACAAAAACTTGGGAAAACACAAACATTCAATCCATTGAATATGCCATCAAATGGTAAGTTACATTTGTAATTTTTTTAAGAAATTTCAAAAATTGAGTATTTTTAAAGACAGTATGTACATAGCCATGCTAGGAAGGAACAAAATATCAAGGGGAAAAATGTATAGAGTTAGTTATGGAAAGAAAGAAGCAGACTGAATACCTGAAGATTTGCTTCAGATACGAAGGTAGAAAAAGGCCATCTTAGATGCAAATCTGGAACCCCAAATCCTTGTAAATACTGAGGTGTGAATTTGAAATTGTGTTTATGGTTATTTTCATTAGCTTTTCTCGAATTCAATAAATATTACCTGTGAGCTTATCCTATGCAGTATCCTTTGCTAATCATGGTGGAGAATACCTTTTTTTTTTTTTTTTTGAGATGGTGTCTCACTCTGTTGCCCAGGCTGGAGTGCAGTGGCACGATCTTGGCTCACTGCAACCTCCGCCTCCCAGGTTCAAGTGATCCTCCTGCCTTAGCCCCACTAGTAGCTGGGATTATAGGCATGTGTCACCATGCCTGGCTAATTTTTGTATTTTTAGTAGAGATGGGGTTTTGTCACTTTGGCCAGGCTGGTCTTGAACTTCTGACCTCAAGTGATCCACCTGCCCTGGCCTCCCAACATGTTGGGATTACAGGCGTGAGCCACCGCACCCAGCTGAGAATACCTTTTAATAAAGTAAAAAAGATAATGCATGTGGAAGATAGTATTTTCATTAAAAATATTGTGAGAAAAATGGTGTTGCTTATTGACTATTTTAGCTTCCACAGCATGCATTATTTTGTAAAGAAACCTAATAATGTCCCAATAATTCACTGGAAATTTTCTAAAACAAAGCGAGGAGGGCAACAATAGTAACAACAAAAGAGATGCTTGAAGAAATATTCATGGCTATGTATTGAAATCTAGTTTAAATCAATATAGAATTGAAAATGTTTGACAGAGCTGATATACCAGAAAAAGTTCTAAAAATAGAATTGTAATGGAAACATGAGACCCTTACATTCACTGATGGTAACAGGTGCAGTTTTAATTAAAGACATTAGCATGTTAAAAATAAACAAAGCTAAACATAGTTGAATGGATAATGTTTAACATCTTAATTTACTGAATTCCACAGCAAAGACTAAATATATCAGAGAAACATACCTTCAAAATGATATGTGCAATTGTAGAGAAGCTATTTTAGCTTTTGCAGATTTTTAAAACATAGTAGCTCCATTTTTTCCAACTGCACAGTTAGAACATAAATAGCTGACAATATTATTTGAATACATCAATAAAATACATTTTAAAACCCAGTGAAGAATTAACTACACAAAGCCCCACTTATCTTTATCTACCCAGAAAGCACAAAACTGCAAACACACAAAATACTCCTGTGGTGTTTCTGACAACCAGCTGAAATTCCTTCTGCAAGTTCAAACTCCTTTTCCAATTTCATGTCTTCCAACATGGTTTCATATGCGTAGCATTAGGAATTCTTCCCTAGGAAGAATACTTTTGGTATATAAAGTATGCCAATGTTTAGAGAGCTCTGAATATATCATGGTGTACATGAAATTCTGTTTTTCTTGAAAGTTTTTGGGAAAAAGGAAAAGGTTCTGAAGATTGTGATTATCTGAAAATGATGTAGAATGAAAGCTCCTGAAATTGGAACATTTTGAAAGGTGACATTGATTACTCCAGTGGGTTGCCAAAGGCCGTGTATGTGGAGCTTGTACAGCCTGGAGGAAATATAAGAGTTCTGGGAACCTTGATAATGGGAGACAATGAGAAATATTTCTTTCTGGAATTTCTTGATTGGGTTAGGCAAAAGTAAATTGTGTTTTGCAGTGAGAAAAGTGAGTATGCTTACCTATACGATTTCAGTAAACAATAGTTGTATTGTTTACAGTTAATTTAAAACAATCAACATAGATTCTTCCAGTCCATTTTTATAGCATCTTGGTGAAGCCTGATATATTCCCACCATCACCAGACCCTAAATTTTTCTGTGATTTAGGTGGGTTAAGAACACCTTTTCTCTTCCAGGATATGTGTTACAAAAATAACAAGATGATTGGCAATGAGAATAACACAACCAAAGGAACAGAAATAGTTGTCATAAACTCAGCTAGGTGTTTCAGAATCCTATCTTTAAAGAAAAACTTCAAACTTCAGCAACAATAATAAGAGGAAAAAGAAGAAACATCAGCTAGAGAAAAGATATTCAAGTTTACTTTAAAGAAATAGATATGTCTCTAAGTTTCTCTAAAATGATGCAGATTTCCAGGAAATAAAGAACAGTTTTAGACTATATTCACATGTGCTTTAAAAGAATTTTAAGTAATGTTCTGCTATTTCTATCATATGCATTCAAAATGTTTACATTATTATAAAGAGATCAAATTGAATAAGAAAATTGTGGCACAAATTTTCATACATTTAAAAATATGCATCATTGGAAAGTGTTGCGAATTATAGCACTGATTACATCAGCATGAAGAATGTTTACATGATTTACTGGAAGAACAAAGGACACAATAAATCAGTTTTTACATTTTACAAATTTTTCATTCCTGTTTACTTTTTTCTTTTCTCCGTTCTATCTTCATTTATTTCAGAATATTTTTATTGTGTGAAGCACTCAATTTAAGAAACTGTGTTACAGACAATTTTTTGAGTCTGAAGGAAAATAAGTAAATACATTGAAACACAGCTCAGTATCTGTAATAATTTAGAACCGAAGGGGAATTTCCTAGATTAAAAAAAATGCAATTGGTCCCAGCAGTCTACCAAATTTTCTACCTAAACTTCATTTTCTACCTTAATTTCTCTCAATTTGAAAAGCATTACTACACAAATCTAACACCTGGGTTAAATTGTTCTATTTCTGCAACTCTAACCCAAATGGGTTGCAGGGGAAGGCAGAAAACATAAATAAATAATTTTTAGAAAATCCTTCACTTGATACAGATATATATCTGTAACAAGTAGTAATATTAAAATACAACTTAATTTAAAGAATAACAAAATGGAAAATAAGACATCACTTAAATAAATTAGTTAGTAGTGTGATTCTTCTAAACACAAGTTTCTGTCCTTCTGCAATGTGCTTCTTTCAGTACTTTCACTGCCATACCCAGCTCTGAGTCTTAGAAGGCAAATGATACAGAAATTCAGTAAATACACAGCTTGCTTACAATGAATTTGTGGCTTTGTATTAATGTTGTGTTAATTCACTGCGATTTTGGAGTTGCCTTTTTTTCAGCATTATACAGCCAATATTACTCACATGATACTACTTTCAACTCTAACTTCCACACTCCCAAAACATTCATGAATGTGTGTACAAAATTATGTATTAACACACATACACACACACAATAGGCATAATCTAAGATGTTCCTCAAGATTGCCATCCATCTTCTATACCCATTTTTGAGGGCTGTGAAATTCAATATTCAAATCATTTTCTCCCACAAAGATTGTCAAGTGTTCCTTTTGCAACCCTTCCTCTCTCCAACCAGTTCTTATCTCGAGATCTCCCGCTTTCTGTCACTCTAGATTAGTGTGCACATATTCATTTTCTTTTTATATAAGCTATATTATACAGTATCTACTCTTTTATTTCTGGCGTCTTTCATTCAGCTTGAATATTTTGAGGTTCATCCATGTTGTTGGGTGTATCAATATTTATATGTCATATTTTCTTTATTCACTTATTTACTGATAGATATTAACTTGTTTCTATTTTTTCTGGGTAAAACTGCTGTAAAAATTTGGTACAAATCTTTGAGTATTTTCATTTTTCTTGGGTAAATATCCAGGAGTTGAATGGCCGGGTTATATAATAGATGTATGGTGTATATGTAACTTTCTGAGAGACTGTCATATATTTTCCAAAGTGCCAGTACTAAACTATGTTGTTACCTTTTCACAGTCTACTTGGACTTCATGTTGTATCTATCCTTATAAAGCATGGAAAACTTCCAATATGGGATTCTGCTTATACTCCTCTCATTCCTTATATTAGATAGTTTTTAAATGTGGTAATATTGTAAACTCCACATGATAAGGTTTTAGTTGATGACTTAAGCTGAAGTATAATATGTATTACAAATAGAGTCAAAGGACAAAAATAAAGAAAAAAACAATTTTCATGTTTATACAGGTATTTAACATTTCTGATGCCACTTATTTATTGATATATATCAAAATTTTATTGTTATTATTTCTCTTCAATCTGAAGGAACTGTAGTTAGCACTTACTGTCATATGGAAGTTATGGCAGTGAATTCTTAGTTTTCTTAAATATGTAATTGTCTTTATTTTGCCTTACTTCTTGAGAAATAATACTGTTAAATGTAGAATTCTACATTGACAGTTATTCTTCTTTCATAAACTTAAAATATTATTTCATTATCTTCTGCCTCCATAATTTCTGGTGAGAAATAAACTGTTAATCAATTTAATTTTTGCCCTTTATTTAAAGTGTCATTTTTCTCTTGCTACTTTTAAGATTTGTTCTTTCTCTTCAGATTTTAATATTTAGATGGGGATGTGCTTCCTATTTCACAAGTCCCTGAGATTCTGTTCAGTTTCTCAATGTTTTATTTTCTTCAGATGGCAAAAATCATTAATTTATTTTCATGTTTATTGATTATTTTCTCTGTCACTTTATAAAGCTATTAAGCCCATAATTTTTTTTAGTATTTTTTATTCTAACATTTCCTTTGGTTCTTTCATATAATTTTCATTTCTCTGTTAAGATTTTCTGTTATTTTCTTTTAAGATGTGTGTTTTTTCACCTCTTTGAATATATTTATCATAGCTCTTTTAAAATCTTCTGATGGTTCTAAAATATGGGTCATATCAGGGACCCCCTCTGGTGGCTATAGTATTACTTGGAAATGGCCCATATTTACTTGGTTCTTTGTACATCAAACATTTTGGTTTGTAGCTTAAGCATTGTAAATGTAATGGTTGAAGACTGTGGATTCTGCTACATTATTCTAAAGAATGTTGATGCTTTGTTTAGTTTGTTTAGATTTAACCTGAAAAATCTGTGAACATCCATTTAATTCTCAACTAAATCTCAATTCCTCTTCTTCCACTCTTTCTTCTGACTAATTCTCATGCAGCCATTGTTGCCTGGACTCTGTTCCCTGGTTCTTCATTTGAGAAAGACGGCAAACTATTAATTGGAGTTTAAGCCTTCTTGCATCAAACAACCGCAGTCTTCTCTCAGTGACAAGCCACAAAATACAGTGATCATAGCTTGTTCATAGCTCCCTCAAAATTTTAACTTGCTTCAAAAGTTACCTGCTATTGTTCATGTTGTATAACCATTGAATATTGATTTTCTTTTTGTATTTTACCCAGAGTGTTTAGTTAACTGTAAGATAGTCAGTTTATGGTAGGCTTACACAAACATTCCAGAAGTAGACTAGGCATATGTTTTATAATCCTGAATGTTTAAACTGTTGTATTTTTATTATAGCCAACTCAAAGAGCTTACATGGGATATAGGAATTAGAGAATGTATGCTGATACCTGTTCAGTTCCCTCACTCTTTATTGGTACAGTCGTAACTCATACATAGTGAATCACATACATTTATTTAGTTACTTTTATCAATATGGAATGGATGATTTAGTCACTACGCAAAGCCAATAAATGCTATAAACCATGGAACTAGTAATCTAAAAACGTCCAGGATTTATTTAGACTACTTTAGTCAAATGGAGTAGAATGGATAGTCTATTATCAGGAATCTTCATCTTCATCTTTTTTTACATGTATATATTCACAATATAAATTCACAATGCTAAAATTGCTACATAGCATAGGAAAAACTGCTTGATCATATTTTTTGCAAAAAAAAAATGAAGAAAGAGGCAAAATGTCTTGAATTATACTTTGGGCTCATAGAAAAGAGAAAAAAAATTGACTAAAATTAAGATTATTAAATAAAACATTTCACGGGCTAGGGAGAAATAATGAGACAAAAAACAAAAAAGAAAAAAGTCCACATCAATGGATGAGGAATCAGAGAAGGCATTACTGGGGCAAAGGCAGGAGGAGAAGAGAACTAAATAAGTTTGCCTCTGTTCCTTTGGCCTCATTAATTTTCACACAGTTTTGTCTCATACAGACAAAAATACAAAATGTTATAATACGTACTCGACATGGTTCTCAAACTTTGAATTTTCTTGGTCCTAAAATGCTTAATTTTTTTGGCAGCTATCATAGCCCATCTTCTAGAATGACAACAGTCAATGTGAAAGATCAGTTACAAATGGTGTTAAAAGTATGTACTTTCACTAAATGAACACAGACTGGAGTATGGCACGATACCAATGGTTTATGCTGCCATGAATACAGATTGTGAGCAACATTCAAAGCTAGAAAAATTAATTAGATAATTATACAAAATAAATTATTTTTATGATAACTATACATTTTAGAGGGGGAAAAAAAGATTCCATCTAGGTGATGACCAGTATTCTAAAGTGCATGCCACATTTAAAAGCCATGTTTTTTTAATCTACTGATGTTGAGTTTAAACCTTCAAAACATGGAGATTAGTGTACTCATTCCGAGGGATTAAAAAAGACTAAGCCCAAAGAGTAATTGAATAAGTTAAAGGGATGTAATGAGTTTTTTTTTTTTCAGTAATTGAATAAGTTAAAGGGATGTAATGAGTTTTTTTTTCTGAAAAGAATATCATTTAAAGTAATATAAATTATCTTCTGATTTTTAAATATTAGTTAATTGGTTTTTAAAAAACATTTTTCTAAATTATAATTAGGAGAAGTATACCACACAGAAAGTTGGGACGCCTAATGTAGTCAGATATTATTATTATTATTGTGGGATACAATGAGGTTTCTCTTCAAATAGCCTGATCAATCCTTTATTGTTTAATTCATAGTATACCCCCACCAACCCTTTTTCCTTTTTCTCTTTTCTGCCTTTGTTACATGCCCGGACACGCCACAGTACCAGGCTTATCAGTACCAGCTCACATTCCTTTCCTTACTTGGAAAAGAGACTAGCTCTCTAGCTCATTGCAGACACCCCTTCTCCTTCTTCTTTCCCTCTTTGCCTTATGTGCCCACCTTATCTAAAGAAAGTTTAAATGTCTAGCCAACTGAGATTAGTTCAGATTGTGCTACCCGACACCAGCCAATGGGGAAAGGGTACAGGGGCAGGACTTGCATCAGGAATAAAGGCTCTCGTGCCCCTTTGTTCAGGTGTGCTCTCATGTCAACTGTCCAAGGAGAAGCACGCCTCTGCACAGAAGTAAAATTGCTTTGCTAAGAATCCTTTCTTTGACTATTCAATCTCCTTAGGATTTTGAGCACTATTCCCAGCATTATTATTATTTATTATTTATTTTTTTTTAGACAGTGTCTCACTCTGTCGCCCAGGCTGGAGTGTAATGGCACGATCTCAGCTCATTCCAACCTCCATCTCCCGGGTTCAAGCAATTCTCCTGTCTCAACCTCCCGAGTAGCTGGGACTACAGGCGCATGCCACCACACCCAGCTAACTTTTGTATTTTTAGTAGAGAAGGGGTTTCACCATGTTGGTCAGGCTGGTCTCGAACTCCTGACCTCAGGTGATCTACTCGTCTAGGCCTCCCAAAGTGCTGGGATTACAGGCATGAGCCACTCCCCGCCCTGGCCTGTCAGATATTATTTTTAATTACACGTTAAGATAAACATAATAGCTAATGTTACTTTGGAGTTTGTTCTTTTTTTCACTTTATTCATTTTAATTTGGAAAAATGTTTAAATTTTCCTAATGTAATAAAATGCACACACACACAGAGAAGATAGAGAGAGCGAGCAAGAGAGTGCAAGAGAGAGAGAGATCCTCATCGTCCTCAGCATACATCTACATACACAAAACAGTAGCTACATGAGATGATGGATATGCCAACTAAGTTGATTGCAGTAAACATTTCACAATGTATACATATATCATAACAGAATATGTACAATTTTTATTTTTCAATTATACTTCAATAAAGCTATAAAAAACAATGTAAACAATGCTCAGAAGGCATTGTATACCTCAAGAATACAATGAGTCATATATATATATATATATGTATATTTACACTCACACATACACATACATTGTTAATCAGGTTAACTTTCTGCATTTTAAAACTGAAATGATGTTCCTATTTGAACTTTGGTTGCTAAACCAAAGAGAGAGCTCCTGGCTGAATGCCAGCAGCATCTGTAGAGGGGACCTTATGTTATTCAGAGGGCAGCAATAATTATTGTGTCCCCAAGGAAAATAGAAAGAATGAATATTGACAAAGACTGGGGAGAAACACTGATGATGATGTTCAGCATGCTTCAATTTTAACATTAAAATATGACTGTTTTGTTTGACTGAACAGGACAGGGCAATCTGCATTCAAGCCATAAGAAGTAAACCCAGTAGCTGGGTAAGTGCCTATAGCAATGGTTTGAGACTTACTCTGATGCTTTGAATGTATTGACTTCCTGTTTTTATTTTATGATAAACACAAAATTATCTATAAAAATGAGGAAAGATTCCAACTACCTCGTGCAATCATTTGTAATTTTGTAGCATGTCTTCCAAATATCATTGCTTTGAAGAATTTGCTTAAAAATGTATTACTAAAAGCCGAGACCCTGGTGATGTTACACAGGCTTGAGAAATCCAGTATCACTCCAGGGCAATGATGCTAATAATATTTTATTACTAGTTAAGTTTCTCAAAGCCAATGCATGTGATGTTAAAATTTAGTTTCGAAACAATTCAATAATAATAATAATGGTATATTTGAAATGATATTTGTATAACTTTATTCATATTCTCCCGAAGTTACAAAAGTACACTAAACATTTTTTGAAAATGAAGAGCTACTTTGTATATGATATAGCAACCCTATATGGCTAGCCGTACATACTTTGCGATGAGTGTCTGGGGGGTTGTGCTTGTAGTAAACCATGCGAATACTGACAAAAACAAAAACATGTACCCACAAGGTAAATTATACATAGGATAAACTCTGTATAAGAATGCACACACAAATATGTATTAATAAACACATTGATTAGTAAATTACTCAATTGTACCTCAAATGTTTTGTTTTATTTTAACAGAAAAAAAGTTTAAGTTTATAAAATGAAGTTATTTTTACATAAAATAAGATTACTCATAAGTAAAAACAGATAAGAAACTTGTCCCATCCACAGCACAAAGACTGGTGGAGCAAAAAAAAAAAATGTTTAAACATTATATATTCCAACAAAAGGCTCTGAATTAAAAAAAAAGTAATCTTGGCTCTGTTTAGTCATGTTCATTACCTAGATTTTCAAACACTGGCAAGATTATTAGTATGTTTGCTATTTGTCTCTGAAAACTAGAACATAAAAATACTTTAAAATTTATAGGAGAAAGGACAGGAAATAATAGTATTCCATAAGTCAATAAATGTGTTTAATTGCAGAAAAGTCACCCATAGTTTTGAAAAATGTCTGTGGTTGATGTTTTTCTTAAATCCCTTGAAATATATTCAAAGTAGGGATTAGAAAGACAAACTGCTTTCCCATGTTTCTCTAACAATATTTTAAACCCATTAAAAGATAAACTTTAGATTTTGTTACCAAAATACCAGGGGTTAGGTACTGTTGTTTGCTGCACGAAAGCCAATCGCTGAGGCAATGTGTATTGCCAGAGAAGAAGGCTTTAATCAAATGTTGCAGCTGAGGTGTTGGGAAATTAGCCTCAAATCCATCTCCCTGATAGACTAAAATGAAGGGCTTACATAGGAGGGAAGAAATATAACCATGTGTGAGAAAATAGGAATTAGGGAGAGGTAAGAAAGAAGAGGTGGTCAACAGTAACCAGGTGGTCATTTAGGCAATTATGACAGATGAGGGGTCTGGAGTCTCATTGTCCAGACAGGGTGATCTAGTTAAGTTTTAGTTCATTTATAGTATCTGGAAGGCATGATGTTTGGTTTCCTGAGAAAGGAACTCAGATAAGACAATTCTAACTCACAAGTTTTAAGACTGGGAGGATCAATTTATGTGTATTCAAAAAGAAACATAAACATCGTTTCTATGGGGCAGTTGGGCTGGTCTCAATTTTACCATATTATCTTGAAGGATAACTATAGTAGAAGTTAAAAGTCATGATGTTCACACATCTGTAGGAAATAAATATTTTCTTAGTATGATCTTTTATCCTCTGAGTTTATGGAAGACTACATCTGTATTTTATTTACTACAATAGATGAATTAATTTATTAGCACATAATGCATGTGTCTTTTAAAAAAATGGCTTAAGCAGACTGTATAACCTCTGACAATTTGAGAGGTTAGAATTGAAAAATAAATTGAGGCTTACAGAGAACCATATTATCTTTTTAGGAAAACAAACTAACAAACAACAATGTAAGGGAGGGAGTTTATCAAGAAAAACAAAAAACAAAAGAAGGAAGATTTTTCCAGATAAAAAATTAATTTTAGCATTAAAAGCTATGTTATAAGAAAGTGAACAATTTGAATAGCAGATGTCTGCTATGAGAACAAGTATTAACCGGGTAGGAAAATCCCAAATTGCACATTGAAGGCATAGAACCTCTGTATTACTTAAAGCCTTGTATTTTATGGCTTTTCAGTTGTAAATAAGATGAGGGAGACAGAATCATTGCTGTGGGAAAGACAAATTAATTCTATGGATAAGCGATATAGCAACTGGATCTCCAAATCCAAATCCATGACCTCTGAGCTTTTGGAAAAGCCCTAGGTGATGGCAGGGTTTATTGGAAAGCTCTATAGCAAGCACAGCTGAAATTTTCAAATGACATAGAATATATGAAATCATCAGCTCTCTGTTTTGCAAATTCAAATAATTCAGGTCAATAGAGCTGCTATGCGTGTGCATAATGAGACCATGGGCATAGATTTTAATCTTGTTAACATTAAAAGGTTAATATGATACATGTTTCATTTAACAGAGCTTGGTGTACAGCTAAATATAAAACAAACATACAAAAATTCCCCCTAAATTTAGACATAATAAGGAGAGAGGAGGAACAGCAAGATGGCAGAGTAGAAAGTTCCACCGATCATCCCTCCTACAAGGACACCAGTTTAAGAACTATCTACACAGACACACGCACACACACACACACACACACACACACGCACACATAATCTTCATAAGAACCAAAAATCAGGTGAGAACTCATGGTACCTGGTTTTAACTTCATATTGCTGAAAGAAGTACTAAAAAAACAGAAAAAAAACTGTCCTGAATTTCTGACATCCCCATCCTCTCCCACCCTTGGGAGTTCCAGTGTGGTGCAGTCCGGAGACCATCTATGGACCATGAGGGAGGGAGAACACAACAATTGTGAGGCATTGAACTCAGTGCTGTCCTGTTAGAGCAAAAAGGAAAACAAGACCAAACTCAACTGATGCCTGTCCACAGAGGGAGCATTTAAACCAGCCCTAGTCAGAGGAAAATCACCAATCCCAGCAGTTTGATATTGCTAAATATATCCCTGGTGGAGATGGGGTTTTTACCATATTGGTCAGGCTGGTCTCGAACTCCTGACCTTAGGTGATCCGCCTGCCTTGGCCTCCCAAAGTGCTGGAATTATGGTTGTAAGCCACCATGCCAGCTAAATATTTTATTCCCTGTGGAATAAATGGCAGGAGGCGAAAGGCACTTCTTACATGGTGGCAGCAAGAGAATGAGCAAGAAGTGAAAGCAGAAACCTCTTATAAAACCATCAGATCTTATGAGATTTATTCACTACCATGAGAACAGTATGGGGGAAACCACCTTCATGATTCAATTATCTCCCACCGGGTCCCTCCCATAACCCATGAGAATTATGGGAGCTACAATTTAAGATGAGATTCCGGTGGGGACACAGCCAAACCATATCAATTTGGATTTTTTTTTCTTTCCATCTTTCTGGAGATGGTTGCAGTGTTCAATAAAAAAAAAAATTAACACTGGGAATATTTAACATTTTATGATAATACTTTAGAAACTCTCCATTCAATATTTTTCAGAAGAGCCTTCCTCTTAAGTGAGAAAACTTGAAGTTGCAGAGATAAAAAATTGGTGCTATAAACCTACTTGGACAAATCTTTCTACCTGGATAATTTGCAATTCAGTTATGCAATCATGTGTTCAGCATGTGGAGGGTTAAAACACCTCTGTGTTTATGTGGGAAAAGTACTGTACTATACTGTGAGCATACCAAGATGAATAAAATATGTTTGTGTTTTCCAGAAGCTGAAAGCTTAGTTGTCAAATTTGAGTTTGAATGAGTATGGTAATAACTACATAAATTATCCAAGGCTTATTATCTTTAGAAAGAGGTGGAAAAGGGAGATTGATTTAAGCTAAACAAAACAAAACAAAAACAAACAGACAAAAAACCTAAAAGGCATATTTGAAAGAATGATAATTGTATCAAATGTCCATAAGTCATTTAAAAGCAAGTTTTCTCAAGTTTTCAATGAGTTCTGGAGAAGGGAGAATAAAGAGAAATTGTAGGATTAGTAAATTAATCCATGTGTTACAGGATGATGGAGGGACTGGGCAGTGTAATGTAAGTTCATGATGGGATATAGTTATGTAATATTTGGATATTTGCATTTTCCATTATTAGCTACATTATTGTAAAGGACTATTATAGAAACATACAGAATCAGGTTTGGTAGTGATATTAAAGATAATCTACTCACATATACTTTTTTTTGCTTATATCTTGAAGTGTCTAGTTTCTATAGCTGGCCCCCACCCCCAGCCTTTCACAACAGGGATTCTGGGGAAATTGCCTCTTTAGGGGGTCTGAGAATAAGAGAATTTTCTTCTTATTTGTTCCTTATTTTCACAAAAAGTCAAGTTCAAGGGCTTAAATGTGATTTGTTCTTTCCCAGCTAGGGATAATGACCTTCTGGCTCATGAAAAAAATATATAGTAAAGTTACGAGAAGTGTGGATCTCTTTTTATTTTTAAATCAAAACAAAGAAAAGTACATTTTAGTATATAAATACAAAATACACTCAAAAGTGAAATGTGACTTTCAATTTTGTCTTTATGATTCGTAAAGAAAAACTAAGTAAAAATAATATATAAAAAATGTACAAAATACCTCCATGTTTATTTGACAGTCATACTTTTAATGTTTGGTGTATGTTATGAATTTAACATGGCTGGCTGCTCTTTCCCTCTCTTTGGTCTTTTAATGTTTCCTTTCTCTTTTACTTTGCTGATGCTGTCAAAGTTAGCATTTAAATATCATTTAAATAAAGTGAATATTTCTCTTAATAATACATTTATTTAAATGAATGATTTTAGAATGTAGAAAGCTTTCTTAGGCAATGCAATTGAAAAATATTTATACAGTTCTTAAAGTTGAGCAAGCCTATCTTCCAAAACTGCTCTTTTTCTTCTAAACTAATATACTGTGTCACCATCATGACAATATTTATGTTATATAACTGTCATATGAAGAAATGCATTTGACTTAATATGGGATTCGAGTTGACACATGAATCTGACTATTTAAAGGCACAAAGCCTATTTGTATTTCTTCTTTTGTGTCCTTTTAAAAATTTTGCTTCTTATTTACTTTATTCAATATTAGAGGCATTGACTACAGCAATTTTTTTCAAATGTATGCTCATTTATTTTAAAATTAATTTATGTTTGCCAGTTTTATGACACTCACTAAAATATTCAGATTTGATAAAGTTCATATTGAATACTAAATAAAAAATGTCCTATAGAATGAGGTTCCTCAGAAATGTTCTAATAGCTCATGATGTAAGATTCCTACCACGGATATTGCAAAACATGACCACACACACACACACACACACACACACACACACACAAAAATCAATATGAGTGTTGTTGAAATTAGGTTTAGCGCAAGATTGCAAATGAGTTTTAGAGATGGGAGTAAAGGTTGACAACACCTTTATGATGAGAGTTATCAGTATTTTCCTCTCAGAAGAAGCTGCGGTAGAATCTACTAGGAAAAAATACCACTGGCCAATGATGTTATGGACAGGAGGTCATTTTTATTTCATTTTTCAGTAAACCATGAAAAGCACATAAGGCACATACAGAGATAGATATAGATACATATATTCCAAATATGTCATAAAAATACATTTAGGACCTTCCAAACTAAGAAAATGGATGGAAAAGAAAGGATAAATAGCTTGAATAAAATCAAGTTCCCTCCCCATTTCCCCTAGAAATGCTCATGAATTAAATTAAAATAATGATGTGGTCAAATTCGCTTTTAAACATGCTAATATGACCTCCTGGTGGTATATACTAGTGGAAATCTAACTGAGATTTATCTATGAAATATTTTTAACAGAATATATCTTGTCCATCTAAATGGCTTATAAACAAACCTCAAATTTATGCAATATAGGAAGCCAGAAAATGTCAGTGACAGTTTGTAGTGGTCAGAGTATAAAATAAAATATTGTGCCACTGCACTCCAGCCTGGGCGAAAGAGCGAAGACTCCATCTCAAAAAAAAAAAAAAATCGCACAGCTAAAATCACTACATTGTACAGGTGGTACCCTGAAGTATATCTTAGAAACTTGCATATTAATCAGAATAAGAGCCTGTCCTAAAGTGGGAAAAAAAGACATAAAAAGCTGGTCTCAAACATCACAAAGTTTGTTAACCAGTAGCCTGAGATTGCTCATATCATTTGAACTATTAGTAAAACTGTTGACAGTAAGAAATGTTTTTTTTTTTTTTCAGTTGACTTTTGTGTTATCTCAGTAAGGGTGGAAAGAGTATGTAAAGTAATTTTTTTTTTAATTTCCAACTTTTAAGTTCAGGGGTACACGTGCAGGATGTGCAGGTTTGTTACATAGGTAAACATGTGCCATGGTGGTTTGCTGCTTAGATCATCCCATCACCCAGGTATCCATTAGCTCTTTTTCCTGATCCTCTCTATCCTCCCACCTCCTGCCCTCTGACAGGCCTCAGTGTGTGCTGTGCCCACCCATGTGTCCATATGTTCTCATCATTTAGCTCCCACTTAAAAGTGAGAACATGTGATATTTAGTTTTCTGTTCCTGCATTAGTTTGCAAAGGATAATGACTTCCAGCTTCATCCATATCACTGAAAGTGGCATAATCTCATTCCTTTTCATGGCTGCATAGTATTCCATAGTGTATATATGCCACATTTTCTTTATCCAGCCTATCATTGCTGGGCATTTGGGTTGATTCCATGTCTTTGCTATTGTGAATAGTGCCACAGTGAACATATGCATGCAAGTGTCTTTGTAAAAGAATGATTTATATTCCTTTGGGTATATGCCCAGTAATGGGATTGCTGGGTCAAATGGTATTTCTGTCCCTAGATCTTTAAGGAATCACCACACGGTCTTCCTCAATTGTTGAACTAATTTCCACTCCCACCAAGAGTATAAAAGCATTCCTTTTTTCTCTGTAACCTCGCTAGCATCTTGTGAGGAATATGGCTGCACTGCAGCCAGGCAGGAGAGGCTGAGGTAAACATCCTGCATGACTCAGTGAGTTTGGAGCACAGGCACACAATTCCATATATAATGTATAAACAGCTATCAAGCCATAAAACGGGAAGGTCATCACTTGGCTCTACACCACTATTGTCTGTAAAAAGTATAATGCCCTGCCAACACTGTACAGGTGCACTCGTTACCAGAGAGAGAAATAGTTAAGCTGCTGACCCTGAAGGCAAGGGAGAGCCGGCTGGCAGCTCCCACACACAGCTGCACAGATTGCGGGGCGGGGGACGGAGGGCTCCATCCAGTCTCAAGCAGGCTCCACCCTGCTGCTGGTGGCTGGCTGGAATTCCCAGCCAGCATATCTTATCTTGTAAGGTGCCATCAAAGTGAGGCCACCAGACGGATGCTGCTCAGCCGCCTGGATTCATCCCCCTTCCTAGGGACATACACGGACCTCTTGCCTTGAAGGGAATCCCAGAGCTGGATTATGTAAAGCTCCTGGGTCTATGTGTGCCTGAGCAGCTGCTCTGCTGAGTCTCCACACAGCTCTGTATGTCAAACCCAAGGTGGTGTGGGCTCACAAGGGACTCTCCGAGAGTTGCAAAGATCCATGAGAGAAGCATGGTTCCCAGGAGTTGCACCTTCACTAACCAAGTCTCTTAGCTGAGGATGAGTGTCTAAAATAAATTTGCATATGAACTACTCAAGTATATTAATAATCGTATGTTCAAGTAATTCTGCTATTCAGAAATCACCTTATTATGACAAGTGGTGAAAGTTTAGGGATACATTTTTTTTAAATGGTAAATCTATGCAATTACCATACAACCCAGCAATTGACTTTTTGCCATTTACCCCATAACACTAAAAACATACCTTCACACGATACCTTGCATATGAATGCCCATAACAGCATCATTCATAATATCCCCAAACTGGAAATAGCCTAAATATATTTTAATGAACGTCTGGTTAAATTCGAGTATACATTTACATAACATGGAATACTCAGTTATAAAAAAGGACGAATGATTCATAATTACAACATAGCTCCATGTCATTTGAGTGTAAAAAGCCATTCCAAAAAGGTTATATATACGGTTCAATTTATGTAACATTTTTGAAATGACAAAATTGTGGAAATGGAGAGCAGATTTGTGGTTGCTAGGGGTAAGTTTTGAAGTTTCAAATGTGATGGGCATAGTTGTTCTATCATAGAACAAAAGAAGTTATAGTCGTGTTGGAACCCTTCGGTAACTTGAATGTGGTGAGGGATACGAGAATCTGCATATCTGATAAAATTGTATAGAAATAAACACAGTTATGTTATGTTATGTTATGTTAATAAAACATATACACACAAACACAATTGAATGAAGGTAAATTTGAGGATAAAGGAGTATAATCAGTAGGTTTGATTAAAATTACTATTTTCATTGTGAAACTATGCTATAGTTTTGTAAAATGTTGTCGTGCAGGAGCCATGAAAATTTCACATGGGCTCTGTCTCTATTATTCCTTATATGTGCCTGTGAATCTACAATTATCTCAGTATCAATTTTAATGAAATAAATATCCACATTTTATTGTGAAAAATTCTGCCCTACAGTATTATGAGAAAGATAAGTATTATGAGAAATAAAACAAATAATTTTTTTATCATAGTAAAAATAAACACATAAGGAAAATAATATATTGTGTTTGCATATAAAAACATATGTTGTGGTCAATAAAGCAGACACTACTGCTCACACAAGGCCCAATATCGTTGGAGTGACAATTTAGAAGATTAATTCAGCACAGCAAAGCCTGATCCAATAAATTACAGAAGCTCAACCATAGAATGCACTGCCTTCTTAAATACTATATTATTAAAAGTGCACAGTGAAAAACACCTTGATACTTGATGAGAAGTTAGAGTTGAGAGTTGAAAACTTGTTAAGCTTGGACTAGATAATGTCATGAGTTTATTAAACAGTCTAGTTGCTTTGATTTTATTCATCAGATTATTTGTGAGATGCTTTTTAAGTAAACACTTTTTTATTTGCTACTCAGTTTCAAGAATTCTCCTGAGCACTAAAAATAAAGGGGAGAGCAAAATCAGATCAAGGTCCTGCCTCTCTGGAGTTCACAATGTACTAATTTATGCACACATTAATTGAATGAGCACATAAATAATAGTCACAGTAAACCAAATGACACCTCTATTAAGTGCTATATAAGAAAAGTAAATGGTGCCATTTGTAAGGTGCCATCAAAGTGAGGCCCCAACATCGATGCTGCTCAGACGCCTGGATTCATCCCCTTTCCTAGGGATATGCACAGACCTCTCACCTTGAAGGGAATCCCAGAGCTGGAGTATGTAAAGCCAAGAGAAGTGGTTAGTGAAGATACAACTCCTGTGGACAACTCTCATGGATCTTTGCAATCTCAGAGTCCCCTGTGAGCCCACACCACCTTGGGTTTGACATACAGAGCTGCGTGGAGACTCAGCAGAGCAGCTGCTCAGGCACACATGGAGGGGGAAATACCAAAAAACAAAACAAAAACCTAGTATAATTCTAACCTTCCTTGAGGAAGTAATATTAGAGCTGAGTTCTGGTAGCTAAGCAGATTTTAACTCTTCAGAGTGGTATGGTAGGTAATAACAGAAGGAAGAAAACAGAATGGACAAAGGCGGCCATGGAGAAAAGCAGATTCATGAGGCTAAAATGTAGGAGGCTTACAAGGGGTGAGTTTCAGGATAGGAAATAGCTTGATTATTCAGGGTATAAACATTTTTCAACAACAATAGAATTGGTGACAACTTTGTCTTAAACATTTTGTGGAATGTGAAAGGGGGGAATAGTAATATTTGCATGTGGGGAAGTAATTGTCTTGCCAGCAAATAATGTTGCACTGCCTACATTGTGGAGAATAGAAATGGAAAGGGTGGCTTACTGACGGATCTGATGGATGTTATCTGCTATCATTTCTAGTAAATGACAATAGCTTGAAGTAGAAACAAGAAAAACACTTGTAAGAAATTTGAGGTGTTCTGAGACTGTATATTTTGAAGTTACTATGTGTTTAAAGGATGTATTATGAAGATAGTGCATAGAGAAAGATGAGAAGATGGGCCCCAGGTTTGCTGATTCCCATTCAATCAAATGGATATCCATAACATTTTTTGAGCTATGTAACATTAGAGGAAAAACAATGGGGAGAATAAGCAGGATGGCAATGTATGTACTTTTGTACAATATGATACCTGAATCTGGAGCAGAGAATAGGGAGAGGAGATGATACAAAGACCATCTCCATATTATTTTGTCTAAGATCATGTAAGCAGAGATCAGTGAGTTAAGTTTTAGTTTTAAAGAATGCCATAAATTAGAGGCCATGTAAAGATGATTATATAAGGTAATGACTGGATAATTTCATTTATTTTGTTTCATTTAAGATGAAGTAGACTATCCAAAGGATTATAACTTGAGAATTATATTTTAAATAAATATCAGTTACATAGCTTATTATCAGAGGAATTATTGTCACGTGGACAATAAGCTATGTAATATTCTTTTTTTTTTTTTTTTTTTTTTTTGAGACTGAGTCTCGCTCTGTCGCCCAGGTAGGAGTACAGTGGCGCAATCTCGGCTCACTGCAAGCTCCACCTCCTGGGTTCACGCCATTCTCCTGCCTCAGCCTCCCTAGTAGCTGGGACTACAGGCGCCCACCACGCCCAGCTAATTTTTTGTATTTTTTTTTAGTAGAGATGGGGTTTCACCGTGTTGGCCAGGATGGTCTCCATCTCCTGACCTCGTGATTGGCCTGCCTCGGCCTCCCAAAGTGCTGGGATTACAGCCGTGAGCCACCGCGAGTGGCTAAGCTATGTAATATTCTTAATTAGTAAGAAATAAAGGATCTCCAGTAGAAGTAAAAGTTTTGTCCTTCAGTGAAAGAACTCCTGTTTTATAAGAGCGGGGAAAAAGTGAAGGTTGGCTGCAGATGCAAGTTAAGTTGATATCACTGGTACAAAAGTTTTCAAGACTGACCATCTGATGGATTATACTTCCCCTTGAAGCCAGTGATAAGGTTATCTTCTAAGACAGAGGGGATAGTAGTGCTGAAAGAGAAGTGAAAGGTTGGATAAAGTAAAGAAAGTTTGAAATTGTTACTTGGAAGTATGAGAGTTCACTAGAGAATTCTAACATGATTTTTAGAACAAGTTGAAAATCCCACTTGAATCTGATGCCTCTCTGTATTGTGACAAAAATTAACCTTGTTTTGTGAATTTCTACAGCATTGTTAGACTGTTCACTGAGAGGCCTAGAAGAATCATATTGTTGAGGTCTTCCAAGATTAACATTCTAACAGACAGCTTGTGGCAAATACTGCAGGTTGTTCAGTAAAATCTGTATTCTTTCCTGGAATACAAAACTGGGCTACTTATTTCATTCTCCCTTGTATCTCAACAAGACCAGTAGTTGATTTCCAGCCAAAAACTGTGAGTGAAATTTATCTTAGGTAAGTTCAGTTCTGACGCATGAAATATTCCCATCCATTCCTCTGTGGTCTTTCATCTGACTGGGATAAATATGTCAGGACAATCTTGGAGGTCACATGTTGCAGAAGGCAGAGAGACCATCAAACAAGTTCCCTGAATAACCACGTGACAGAGAAATTCCCAGCAAAACTTGTATCTATTCAAGATATTTTTGCCAACAGAAAATAAATTTACTTGTGATAGATAAATGGTAGGCACTCTTTTACTCTAAAAGGCAAGATAGTAAATAATTTAAGCTTTGTGGGCTATAAGGTCTCTGTCACAAGTACTTATCTGTGCAATTGTAATGAAAAAGCTGCCAGAGACAACACAAACAAACATGACTGTGTTCAATAAACACTTATTTACTAAAACAGACCATGAACCAGATATATACACCATAGTTTGCTGACATCTAGTACTACATTGAAATTTTGGAGTATGTTTATTACTCAAACTAACCTGTCCAAACTAATATATATTATTATTATTTTATTTTATTATACTTTAAGTTTTAGGGTACATGTGCACAATGTGCAGGTTTGTTACATATGTATACATGTGCCATGTTGGTGTGCTGCACCCATTAGAAGTATTCTAGAAGTACATCAACACAGGGAAGTTTAATGTATTTCAAAACATACTTTTGCAATAACAGTATAGGAATGAATCTAAACAAGGAAGGAAATGAAGAAAGTGAGATAATGATGTACTAAGTATAATCAGTGGAGTCAAAAATAGGATTTTACAATACAATTGAAGAATGGTAATGGTGGGATTGATTTACGGTTGAGGTAGAAGTAGTTTTAAATTAGTCACATGGGAGTTGATGGAAAGTTCTTTAGTGCATTGTTGGGACTAAGTGACAGGAAACCTAGTGCAAAGAAGTTGCATATATTTATGGTAATGTGTCTGGAATTGGTCGGTTCTTGGTCTCACTGACTTCAAGAAAGAAGCCGCGGACCCTCCCGTGGAGTGTTACAGTTCTTAAAGATGGTATGTCCGGAGTTTGTTCCTTCTGAAGTTCGGATGTGTCTGGAGTTTCTTTCTTCTGGTGGATTCGCTGGCTTCAGTAGTGAAGCTGCAGACCTTCATGGTGAGTGTTACAGCTCTTATAGGCAGCAGGGACCCAAAGAGTGAGCAACAAACAGCAAGATTTACTGCAAAGAGTGAAGGAACAAAGCTTCCACAGTGTGGAAGGGGACAGGAGCAGGTTGCCACTGCTGCCTCCAGCAGCCTGCTTTTATTCTCTTATCTGAACCCTCCCACATCCTGCTGATTGATTGGTCCATTTTACAGAGAGCTGATTGGCCCATTTTGACAGGGTGCTGATTGGTGCATTTACAATCCCTGAGCTAGACACAGAGTACTGATTGGTGCATTTACAATCCTCTAGCTAGACATAAAAGTTCTCCAAGTCCCCATCAGACTCAGGAGCCCAGCTGGCTTTGCCTACTAGATCCCGCAGGCCCACACTCCTCAGCCATTGGGCAGTCGATGGGACCGGGTGCTGCGGAGGAGGGGGCGGTGCGTGTGTTGGGGAGGCTCCGGCCGCACTGGAGCCCATGGTCGGGGGTCGCGGTGGGTGCGGGAATGGGGGAGGTGGCACGGGGGGGTGCGCGGGGGGGAGGGGGGAGGTGGCGGGGGGCGCGGGGAGAGGCGCGGGGATGGGCGGAGGGGGCGGGGCGACGCAGGGGCACGGACGCGGGCGCGGGCGCGGGAGGTTTGGGCATGGCGGGCTGCAGGTCTTGAACCCTGCCGCGTGGGGAGGCGGCTGAGGCCCGGTGAGAATTCAAGCCTGGCGCGGGAGGTCTGGTAGCGGTCGGGGACCCAGCGCATCCTCCGCTGCTGCTGGCCTGGGTGCCAAGCCCCTCATTTCGGGCCAGCCGCTCGGAGTGCAGGCCCGCTGAGGCTGCGCCCACCTGGAACTCGCGCTGGCCCGCGAGCCGTGTCGCCCCTCCCGGCCCAGCCCCGGTTCCCGCCTACGCCTCTATCTCCACACCTCCCTACAAGCGGAGGGAGCCGGCTCTGGCCTCGACCAGCCCAGAGAGGGGCTGGGACAGTGCAGTGGCGGGCTGAAGGGCTCCGAGGCCGAGGAGGTGCTGAGAGTGAGTGAGGGCTGCTAGCACGTTGTCACCTCTCAGTAACTGGAACACATTATTACTCCAGGTTGTCAATGTGAAAAGCCAAAGGTAAGTCCAGATTCAACATTTAAGTAATGATAGATGAAGAGTTGAATTATCAACACTCTACCACTGTCTCATATGTAATGTTAGCTGTCTGTATATAGATAACATAGCTACACATATGTATAGGTATTCTTATAGATGTATCAACACAGACACAGATCGATATCTAAATTACATAAATATGCACATATCTATTTTGTATTTATATGTTTACACAAAAATATGTATACATAGAATGACAGAGAGATAGATGAAAATAGATAGATATAAGTATAGATGCTTAGACAATCTTTTCTACGAAGATGCTAGCCAGATCTTTCATTTCAGATTTACATAAGGCCAGAGAGAGTTTTTCAACTCAAGTTTAAGTGTAAAAACATACTTATTATCCATTAGCATATTATAAAATAAAATAGAGCTTAACCATAATTAAATGTCCTGTGAAAAGAAAACGTCATTTTTCTTTGTTCTACATTGATTTCTCTGAAGTAGCCTAAAGTGCTGTAAGAAACACAGAAGATAATCTATTTTACTATCACTTGATGAAAATATAAAAGCAGCCTTGAAAGAAAGCACAACTGAAAAATTGTGTATTAGATCATTATCATGTTAGAACATAATTTAAATATATGACACCTTGCTTATATTTAGGTTTTCTGGCATATGGCAGGATAAGAACACATAGTGTAACAACATATTTTCTGATACTGTGCACTATATTGATTTATTGTTTAAAATAAATAATTTATATTACCATGAAGAAGATAAACTCCTTCCTTATTCCCCAGAAAATAATTATTCAATTAATAAGTTGTTCATTTGTTACGTATAAAGTCCTTATAGCCAAGTTCATTAACTGATGTTACATTTGCTGAAGGACAAAAATGTTGATTAGCCAAATTTTCTAAAATATATTACCCAAACGAGTGGAATACTCACAAATTTACTTTGTTAATTACTAATCAGCTTATTTGAGAACAAACTATTTTCTGATATTTGTGAAGCAATAAACGTGTTTAGCAGTTAGAGTATAAACTTAAGGTCTGGATGAAATATGACTTAAGGTGAAATAATAGCTTCTATAGTGGTGGGATGCTCACGGGTGTACTGTAATGGCTTTCAGCAAATACTGGCCAATGATAATATGTCAAATACCAAATTAGGTTTTATTTTTATATTTTATATTAAAATGATTTTTATTACAAGATAATGAAGACTTCTCAATATTTTTCTTTAGAGAACTCAAGTTACTGCCACCTAATACATCCTTATTCAAATGTCATTTACACACCATTTATATGTAACTCAAATCAGTTTATGTTAAATACGTTTTTGGCTTTTTACAGAAACGATTAAGGCAAAATTAGGATTGAAGTCACTAATACCTATTCTAGCGTCAGCAACTAATCCCTTTTAATCTCTGTGAAGAAATTATTTTGTTTTTCCTCAACTGAGATTTGGGAATCCTCACCTTTTGAGAGGATCTAGATTTTATAGTAACTGGAAGACACTGAATGGGGGAGAAAATTGAAGATTAATTAGCTATTATTATTGAAAGGAAGAAAAGGAAGGAAGGAAGAAATGAAGGAAGGAGGGAGAGAGGAGGAAGGAAGGAAGGAAAGAAAGAAAAAGAAGGAAGGGGAAAAAGGGAGGGAGGAAGGAAGGAAAGAAAAAAAGGAAGGGGAAAAAGGGAGGGAGGAAGGAAGGAAAGACGGAAGGAATGAGACGGAAGGAATGAGGGAAAAAGGGAGGGAGGAGGAAGGAAGGAAAAAAGGAAGGAAGGAAAAGGAGGAAGGAAGGAAAGAAGGAAGGAATGAAGGAAAAGGAAGGAATGAGGGAAAAAGGGAGGGATGGAGGAAGGAAGGGGAGGGAGGAAGGAAGGAAGGAAGGAAGGGGAAAAAGGGAGGGAGGGAGGAAGGAAGGGGAGGAAGGAAGGGGAAAAAGGGAGGGAGGGAGGAAGGAAGGAAAGAAGGAAGGAATGAGGGAAAAAGGGAGGGAGGAAAGAAGGAATGAAGGAAGGAAGGGAAAAAAGGGAAGGAGGGAGGCAGGGAGGGAGGGAAGAAGGAAGGAAAGAAGGAAGGAAGGGGAAAAAGGAAGGAAAGAATGAAGGAAGGAAGGAGGGAAGAAGGAGGGAGGAAGGAAGGAATGAATGAGGGAAGGAAGGGAAAAAAGGGAAGGAGGGAGGAAGGAAGGAATGAGGGCAGGAAGGAAGGAAAGAAGGAAGGAATGAGGGAAAAAGGAAGGAAGGAAAGAAGGAAGGAAGCGAGAGAGAGAACAAATAGAGTAGTGCAAGTACCACCACCTAGAAACAAATTTTTGTTTGCCACTTCATACAGCTAGCATTCAGGGTGCACTCACCATATTTTCTGTCCCACCTGCACATTGCTATGTGGCTTTATTTCTCATGTAAATACTACTCCTTATTCTGTCCAGACTTGCACCTCTTATTAAGCATTTGGTGGGGATAGGGCACTATAGACCTCCTTGTATTTAGTCTAAAAATAGATTGATGCTTTAATGTTTTGGAGTACTTTTAATGTCTCACTTTATAACTCTAGTATCTCACCTTTGAGTTTTCCATCTCAGGAACTGTTCATTACGTAGAATGGGGTAGGTTTAAATTCCATCTCCTTTTATTTCATTGACTTTTTTTCTCTACTTTTGTGTCCATTAAACATGGCATTTAAAAAAGAGGAAGTCAGACATTGGTTTAATACTATTTTTTTTTTTTTGAGACGGAGTTTCACACTTGTTGCCCAGGCTGGAGTGCAATGGTGTGATCTCAGCTCGCCACAACTTCCGCCTCCCAGGTTCAAGCGATTCGCCTGCCTCAACATCCCGAGTAGCTGGGATTACAGGTATGTGCCACCACGCCTGGCTAATTTGTTTTGTATTTTTAGTAGAGACGGGGTTTCTCCATGTTGGTCAGGCTGGTCTTGAACTCCTGACCTCAGGTGATCCGCCGCCCACCTCAGCCTCCCAAAGTGCTGGGATTACAAGCGTGAGCCACCGCGCCCGGCCTAAACTATTTTTTTTTTTTAATGTATGGGATTCAATAATGAGCATGAAGATAAATGGCTGCAGCATATTGTGAGAGTAAAGGTTTGCACATTGAAATCTGTTTCCAATAATTTTATTCACTTTCAGTAACTGGGAAGGGAAAAGGGAGAGTTGTCTTACTCTGGTCTTGATTTACATAATCTGGGTGTCAAATGAAAATTGCCCAAGGATTCTGCCCTGAATGAGAAATAGGAACCTAAACATCTACTTATCGACCACCCTGAGTACTTACAGCTTATCATCTGTCTGAGAGGTGAACGTGTTCCTACCGAAAGTACTTGTTTTTACTTAGGACATTTTGCTCAACTTTCAATGAAACCACAGTCTTAGTTGTGGGGAATTTTATCTTGCAATTTCAGCAGCACCCAAAGATGGTTTATCTACACTCATTCACATATTTAGATTCTTAAATAAATCCTTGGGAGGCCGAAGCGGGTGGATCACGATGTCAGGCGATCGAGACCATCCTGTCTAACACAGTGAAACCCCGTCTCTACTAAAAATACAAAAAAAATTAGCCGGGCATGGTGGCGGGCGCCTGTAGTCCCAGCTACTCCGGAGGCTGAGGCAGGAGAATGGCATGAAGGCGGGAGGCAGAGGTTGCAGTGAGCGGAGACCGCGCCGCTGCACTCCAGCCCGGGCGACAGAGCAACACTCCGTCGCAAAAAAAAAAAAAAAAGGTAAAAAAGAAATCAAAACTCCACATTAGCAGCTGATTTTCAGATTTACACAGAGCTAAGATAAACTCTTACTTACAATGAAAAAGATACAAAAATCGTTACAATGACCAAGAGAGAAAGAGGCAGAACAATCTCTCTGCCGGTGTTCCCCATCTGCTAAAAATAGGAATATTTGCTCAATTGAATTTTGTGCCTCGTAAATGAGATAACATATTTTTATAAGTGTATATCACACTGCTTGAACATTAGCAGACCTTAATACTTGATTAAAGAAGAGATAAAACAATGCATGGGAATTTAGACTGCCTTTAGGCTGTCATCACCACTCTACCGATGGACTGGTACAGTGCAAATTTTTTTAGCTTGTATAATTTATTAAGTTGCCTTAATACATAGCACATTATCCTACTGGCATAAAATTTTTTTTAGCAGCTTCTAAAAGTCCCTGTTCGTCATTAAAGAGTTTATGCTCTAGGTGACTATGGCTTAATATGTACATTAATACAGTTACTTAGAATGAAATCATGGATTATACCAGCACAATGGCTACACTGACAGATACATTCTGTTTATATTCTACCTACTCTACCTCATCTGTTTACGTGGCATGATGCCCATTCATAAGTTAATCAAACCTTTTCTGAGAGAGGCTGCCAAAAAGACATTGTTTTGGAAGGGCAACCAGCAAATGTTGGAAAAGCAAAGGCAAATAAAAAAGCTAATTTAAATTAATATGTTGAATAGTAACAAAACGCCTGAACACTATATGAGAATTTTTGACAAAGAGAAATTTTGACAAGAAAACTGTTGTGTAGATTACATAATTTATTTAAGAATATTTATTTTAAAATTGAGATAATTAGTATATTATTACAAATCAATCTTTGAATAAATCTTGTATCAAGTAGGAAACTAAAAAATAATGTCATCCAAATGAAACATTTAAATACTTCTAATCAATTTTCTCTCCCCTGTGATATAAAAAGGCTTAATCAAGAAGAAAAAAGAAAAAGAAAAAATTGGCAAGATATTCCTTTTTTTTTCATTTCGGCGGAGAAAATTTTCTATGTCTTTGTGAGAGCTTGTCTCTTCCCATAGGAAAACATATGACTAAGTTGTGTTTTTCTTATCTAAAAAAGGGATTACATCCTAAAATTTTATATTCTAAAGGGAGAAATGATTTTCATTTTTTCTCCTCTGTTACATTTTTTCACCATAGTACTGTAACAGTCCTTTCCCTAATTCTAATGTCTGATATCTAAATCTAGTATTTTTCTTTTTTTTTTTTTTTTTTTTTTTTTTTTTTTTTTTTTTGAGACGGAGTCTCGCTCTGTCGCCCAGGCTGGAGTGCAGTGGCGGGATCTCGGCTCACTGCAAGCTCCGCCTCCCGGGTTCACGCCATTCTCCTGCCTCAGCCTCCCAAGTAGCTGGGACTACAGGCGCCCGCCACTACGCCCGGCTAATTTTTTGTATTTTTAGTAGAGACGGGGTTTCACCGTTTTAGCCGGGATGGTCTCGATCTCCTGACCTCGTGATCCGCCCGCCTCGGCCTCCCAAAGTGCTGGGATTACAGGCGTGAGCCACCGCGCCCGGCCTAAATCTAGTATTTTTCTGAGAGTATCATTTACCAATTCTACTCTGTACTGAATGAATGAGAGTCTGACTCTTGAGCTAAAAGATGTCTAATGGCTACTAATGCTGAAGAAATTTTATTTTATTTTAAATACAGTAATAATTTTATTTTAAATAAAAAGCAATACAAATTTCTTAAAAATCTTACCAACATATTAATCAAGGCACCTCATGTGATACACACTTCAACTTTACACATACAGAAATATTTTCATATAATAATTTCTTAGCTTATGAACTATATCCATAGTATTTTATTCTATATTAATTTAAAGTTGTGAATATCATGTTTAACACCTCAGGTTTTGCTAATAACTAGTTTTGTCTGGAAATGATGGATTTTGGAAAAGCTTCAGGAAAGCAATAACGTTAGCACTAGACCTTGAAAAACAAGTAGGCGTTAAGCCAACTTGTGTTGTATAGCATTGGTGTCTTAAATAGGAAGCACTTGGCACATTCCATTGTTAGCAGAATAAATGATCTGTATGGTAGTGGTCAGAAATTTAGAATAAGAAAAATGCATCATGCTACAACATAAATTAAGGGAAAATTACCTGAAGCCCTAATATTCCATGCTTTAATTTTAGACATTTCTTGGAAATATTTATTCTCAATTTAAATACTCACATTATTTTAACGTTCAAAATTAAGGAAGTCTAGTCTTCTCTTTAATTCCCATGCATAAATATCATCAATGCTAATAACACTAATATTTACTTGATGTTATCTATCTTACATTCGTGATAATGGAAGGGCCATTAAAATTTCCAGCAAAGATACCAAAATATCTTTATAATTTCTATGTAAGTCACTTTCTAGTTATATCATCAAATATCAGGATTTGTCTGATGCTAAGGCCATAAATGCCTTTTTACAAACTTAAAAATAATTTAAAAATATAATAGTTGTATTCGTATGTGGCAAAATTCTAGTGATAGTAAATCACTAAAGTGATGTCTTTCATTAAGTGAGAAAAGAAATCAGAAGTGCACTTGTTAAAAGTGTCATTGTTCTGATCTCTGTTCATCAGATCTTATTATGACTAAGAAGATATCCAGTATTTGTCAAAAAAGTCTGATAGAAGAGAATAACTATTGGGTGCAAAGATTAAATAAAGGTGAATTTGAGCTTATTTATTTTAAGAGAAAAATCAAATAAGTACTAAAATGGCAACTAAAAATATTTCTGTTGACTCAGTTATTTTTAACCACTTAGTGAAAAGTCCAGTTGTTCTGTTCGATTGTTCAGGATAAGCCTGAATATTAATATCCAAAGGTTAAGAATATTCATCATACATCCAACTCTTCTGTAAATCCACCTTAAAAAAGAAATAAAAGTGCCACTTAAACAAACTTAAACAATTTAAATAAACATCCAATTTATACTATATTAAATTATAGGACTGGCCTGTTAGCTTTAAAATAAGTTAATAATACATGCAAATATAAAAAGAGTAATGCTGCTGTAATCAACTTATTCATGAGTTAACATATTTGCATAAAACATTTTCTTGTTTATCAGAACAAGAACATTGACTTGTTTTTCAGAAAGCCTGTCTTCAATTTACTGTTTTCATCAGTATCATTAAATAAATACTTATATTGCCATCAGTTATGTAAACACTGGATTTAACACATTTCTTGAGATATATATGAACGTATACATGTACATGAGTGCAGTGTCAAGAGTAAGTAGTTATTGCAGTGAACAAAGTCTCTCATTTCTTCATGCCCAGCATATTAATGTTGATATATGGAATGTGAATTTTACAAGTGTGGAATGTAATTTTATTTTATCTCCAAGATAAATAACTGAATTATGCAGCATAAATTAATATATATTAATTAGAAATATAATCTTTGAAATTTTAAATTTAAAAATTTTGGCATCCAAGTTAATGAATAAATAATATGTTACATAGATAATATTATATTCATATATTTTTACATTATAGATTAACAGAGCTCAACAGCTATTAAAACAGATTTTGTTTACATTGTCTAGATTTATGCTAGTGATGAATTAAGGTCTAGTGAAAACGCATCAATGCTTTCCTATCAGGAGGTACTAAGTCATATTGTATTTTCAGAGAGCAAGCTCAGATTTCACAGGTATGAATATTGGCCTTAAAAATATTGAGATTTTGGAGACAGACACAGCCAGATGGCTGAGTTGAACCTTTTAGCAATCATTCCCCTTTAAGAACACCAAATTGAACAACTATCTACAAAATACATCACCTTCATATGAAGGTTAGCAATCATAGTACCTACTTGTAACATCATAAGAAGGAAAGAGTCATAGATTCTGTATTAGCTTCATCTTGAGAAGCCAGTGACTATTAGAGAATGTTATTACAATAAATTTTAAAAAGTCTAAGTATTCTTCTTAAAATTACCATTGTTATTAATACCAGTGGTACCTCTCAAAGTTTTCAGTATATATATATAGATCTTTATATGTGTGCATATTAGTGCACTTATAAACATCCAGATATACACAAACTTTCACATATTTTACAAATTGGCATTTTATTATACACACTGCTTTCAACTTCCTTTCATTCACAGACACACTGTGACTCTTCCTAAGTATTAGTATATATTAATATGTTATGTTTTGACATTGAAATATAGTTAATTATATGGCTCTAAAACAATGGATGATTAAATAATTATTAAAATACTAAATAAAAAACAAAACAGTCATCTCTATTATATGAACTATATAGTAATTTAAATAACTGAAATACACAATGATTATAAGGGCATAACAAATTAGTCACCCTTGTAAATTTTTGATAGACGTTTATACTTGTACAGTCATTAGGACTATTTGATAATATATACCAGAATTTAAAATTGGCGTATTCTTGACCTGTCACCTCCACTCTTAGAAGTTTTCCATCCAGCCACGATAATATAAGTGTACCAAGATGGATTACAATATGTCTACTCAATCATACTTATACTCAGTTCAGAAAAAAATTCCTTTTATAAATGAATGTTCAGGCATTATAATTAAAATAATTTTTAAAATTGACATAGTTTTACTGTTAAAAATTAGTTTCTCTTAGCAAGTAGAGATAATAGATTTATTATTTTTTATGATAGAAGGAGTGCATAAAGGGAAAAGTAAAACAAAACAAATGTCAGTAGGACAGAGAAGACTTTGAGAGCAAATTAATTAGCCTGTGAAATTCCTGTATATTTTGATGACACCAATGATTATGGAACTCCATGTGTTTTTTTTGGTCTCACTCTTTTAGCTTCTTCTTGTGGATAAAAGAAAAACATGCTATCATCAGAGGGCAAAGAGTGTTTAGAATAAAATAGCTTACATACTTCTAAGGAAGTAGAATGTTGATTACATACACTGAAAGGTTGAGTAAATGGGGAAATGAAGGTCAAAGGGTACACAGTTTCCATTAAGAGAAAGATGTGTTTTTTTTTCTTTTTTTGAGTTCTATTTCACAGTATGGTGAAAGTAGTTAATAATAGAGTACTATATATTTCAAAATTGCGAAGAGAGTAAATATTAACTCTTCTCACTACAACATTGTGTTACATATTTGAGGTAATGGATATGTGAACTAGCTGATTTAATTATTGCTCGTTGTACTCAAATTATAATATTTGTACCCTATAAATTTATACAATTATAAATTGCCAATTTATAGTAAAATGTATTTTTAAAAAATGTAATCAAAATTCTAAAAGAGGCTACAAGAAACTTGACAAGCTCATACTAATATATAAGAAAGAGCAAAGGGCCAAGAATACCCAAGAAGACAAATAAAATTTTTTAAAAAGGCATAAAATAAAAATATTTGCCTTAAAAATACTCAGATTTTGGAGAAAGAGGCAGAACCAGATGGCCTAGTAGAACCTTCTAGCATTCATCTCCCTGTAGGAGCATCAAATTGAACTAAAAACTATCTACACAAGAAAGCACCTTCATAAGGACAAAAAATTCAGGTCAGTGATCACAGAACCTACTTTTAACATAATAACAAGTAGAGAGTCATTGAAGAGGGTAGAAAAGACAGTCTTACATTGCCTGCACCACCTCTCCTCCAGCTAGTATAAGCATGGAGTGAGAAGCTGTGTGCCTAGTGGAAGGAGAGCAAAGTGAGTGTGGAACTTTGCACTGGAACTCAGTGCCTCTCTGTCACAGTGGAATAATAATACAGCTGGTGCCCCTGGAGGGGGCATATGGACCAGCCCTGGACTAGAGGAGAATCCTCTGCTCCAGTGGAAGGAAACTAAATGCTGGCCAGCTTCACTATTGACTGACTTAAATGATGCGGGCCTGAATTAATTTGTGTGGCAGTTGAGCCACAGGACTGCAATTCTTGGGCAAGCCATGCAGTTGCCCTGGTCTCAGAGGCAGTGGACTTTGGATGTAACCCAGTGTGACACCAACTGCAGTGGCCATGGGAATGTTTGCACCACCTTCCCCCCAACTCCTGGCAGAGTAGCTCAGGGAATGACATTTCCCACTCAGGGGAGAGAAGAGTACAGAAGACTTTGTTTTGCAACTTGGGTACCAGCTCAGGCACAGTAAAATAAAGCACCAAGAAAATTCCTAAACCCTGTGATTCCAGGATTTTACTCCTGGACTATGTTCCTAGACTCACTCTGAACCAGAAGGCAGTCCATTGTATGTGTATATATACAACAAATCTAAGAGTTACTGGGATTAAGAAGGATGGGGAGAGAGATAGATTGGGGTAGAAAACGTATTCAAATAAATAATAACATAGAACTTTACAAAAATAGGGAAAGATGTGAATAGACAGGTACAAGAAGGTTAGAGAACCTCAGAATGATTCAACCCAAATAAGACTATCTCGGCGTATATAATAAATTCTCAAAGGTCAAAGATAAAAGAAGATTCTCAAAAGCAGCAAAAGAAAAGAGGCAAACAGCATATACAGAAGCTCTAATACGTCTGGCAGCAGACTTAGCAGAAACTTTACTTACAAGGAGGGAGTGGGATGACATATTTAAGGTGCACACGCACACACACACACACACCCTTTCAACCTAAAATATTATGTCCAGCAAAATTATCCTTCAAACATGAATGAGAAATAAAGACTATACCAGACAAACAAAAGGTGAGAGAATTTATCGCCACCAGAACTATCTTACAAAGAAATGCTAAAAGGAGTTCTTCAGTATGAAAGACAAGGATGTTAAAGAGTAATAAGAAATTATATGAATGAATAAAACTCACCGGTAAAAGTAAGTATATGGACAAAGACAATACCCTAGCATCATAATTGCAGTGGGTAAACCACTTATATCTTTAGTATAAAGACTAAAAGATAAGCCTACACAGAGTAGTAACTACAACAATTTCAAAAAGATAAATAGTGAACAGAAAAAGCAAAAAAGGAGAGGGATGGAGTTAAAGTGAAGAGGTTTTTTTAAATGTTCTTTTTGCTTGCTTTTTTTTTTGGTTTTTCTTTTCTTTATGATTAGATTTAAGTTGTTAGCAGTTTAAAATAATTGGTTACAAGATGTTGTTTTAAGCATCATGGTAAACACAAAGCAAAATCCCATAATAAATACCAAAAAATAAAGCCAGAAGTTAAAACATATTGCCAGGTAAAATCACATTTACACAAAGAAAACAAAAAAAAAAAAAAAAAAAAAAAGGCGGGGGGGGGAAGAAGAGAGTACCAATAAAACAATAAGAAAACAACAAAATCACAGCAGTAAGTCCTTACCTATCAAAAATAACATTGCACGGAAATGAAAAATATAATCCAATCAAAATACATAGAATGTGTGAATTAATAAAAAAAAGACCCAACTATATTCTCCATACGGGAAAATCCTTTAACCTATAGAGACATGCGTAAACTGAAAATGAAGGGATAGAAAAAGATGTTACATGCAAATGCAAACAAAAAAAGCAAGAGTAGATATATTTTTATCAGAAAAAAATAGATTTTAGGACAAAAACTATAAAAAGGGGCAAAGAACATCCTTATATAATCATAAAGGGCTGAATTTGGCAAGAGGATATAAAACTTTTAAATATATGTGCAGCCAGTGCTAAGTCATATAAATATGTAAAACAAATATTGGAGATAAGGAGAGAGATAGACCCCAATACAACAGAGTTTGAGACTTTTAAATCCACTTACATTTGACATATTACCTAGATAGCAAATCAACAAATAGACACCAGACTTAATCTGTACTATAAACCAAATGAACCTAATAGACATTTATAGAACATTTTATCCAAAAGCTGATGAATACATATTTTTCTCCTCACACATGGAACATTCTTAAGGATAAGCCATATGTTAGGCTGCAGACAAGTGTAAAAAAATTCAAAAATATTGAAATCATATCAGGTAAGTTTTTGGACCACAATGGAATAAAACTAATAGTAATGAGAGGAATGTTGGAAACTATGAAAGCACAAGGAACATAAACAATATGCTCCTAAATGACTGTGGGTCAATAAGAAATTAGGAAGAAATCTATTTTTAATATTAAAACAAATGAAAATCGAAATACAGTGTACAAAAATCTATGGAATACACCAAAACTGGTATTAAAGGGAAGTTTATAGCAACAAATTCCTACATCAAAAAAGAAAAAAGCTTCAAATAACTTAATGATGTATCATAAAAAACTAGAAAAGAGCAAATTAGTAGAAGAAAAGAATGACTATCAGAGCAGAAATATACACTATTGAGATGAAAAATAGATAAACCAAACCAAAGTTTTTCTGAAAAGATAAATGAAATTTACATTTAGCCAGACTAAGAAGAAAAGGGAAAGACCCAAACAAAATCAGAGTCGAAAAAGGATATATCTAGCTGCTGCCATAGAATGCAAAGGATTGTTAGAGACTATTATGAGCAATTGTAAGCCAATAAATTAGAAAACCCTAAGTAAATAGATGAGCTCTTAAATACATACAACCTACCAAGATTAAGCCATGAGGAAATCCAAAACCTGAGTATACCAATAACAAGTAATGAGATAAAAGCAGTAATAAAAATTCTTCCATCAAAGAAAAGCCCAGGGTCTGATTTCTTCACTGCTGAATTATAGCAAACATTTAAAAAACAACTAACTGATCAATCTTATTCAAACTATTCAAAAAATCCAGGAGCAGGGAAAACTTTCAAACTAATTCTACAAGGCTACTAATTACCCTGGTACTAAAACTAGACAAAGACATAACCAAAAAAGGGAAACTGCAGGCCAATGTCCCTAACGAACATAGATGCAGAAATCCGCAACACAATATGAGCAACTACATTCAACAACACATTAACAATGTCATTCATCATGATCAAAGGGGAGTATCCCAGGGCTGAAAAGATGTTTCAGCATATGCCAACCGTAAATATGATGCACGACATTAACAGAATGGAGGACACAAACCATATGATTATTTCAGTTGATGTCATAAAAGTATTTGATAAAATACTTTTTCAAATTTTTAATTAAAATTTATTTAATTAAAATTAAAATTCTTTTTAAATTTGATATCCCTTCATGATAAAAACTCTTTTAAAAACTGGGTATAAAAGGAACATACCTAAACACAATAAAAGCCGTATGTGACAAACCCACAGGTAGTATCACACTGAACAGCAAAAACTGAAAACCTTCCTTCTAAGATCTGGAAAAAGTGAAAAGACAACCCACAGAATGGGAGAATATATTTTCAAACACCTCATCTGACAAGGGATTAATAACGGGAATATATAAGATGCTCAAACAACTCAATAGGAAAAAAGTGATTAAAAAATGAGCAAAAGATCTGAATAGACATTTCTCAAAATAAGAAATATAAATGGCCAACAAGTATATTAAAAATGCCCAACACCACTAATCATCAGAAAAAAAATGCAAATCAAAACAACAATGAGATATCTCACCCCAGTTAAAGTGGCTTTTATCAAAAAAGAGACAACAACGGATGCTGGTGAGCATGTGGAGAAAGAAGAAACCTCATAAACTGTTGATGGGAAGGTAAATTGGTACTGCTACTATGGAGAACAGTATGAAAGTTTCTTAAAAACCTAAAAATAAAACTAAAATATGATCCACAATCTCATTACAGTGTATATATCCAATGAAAGAAAATCAGTATATTGAAGAGATATCTGCATGCCCATGTTTGTTGCAGAACTGTTCAAAATAGCCGTTATGGAATCTACCTAAGTGTCCATCAATGGATAAATGGATAAAGGAAATTCACATATATATATATATATATATATATGAATATTATTATTCAACCATAAAAAGAATGAAATCCTGTAATTTGCAACAACGCAGAACTGGAGGATGTCATATTAAATGAAATAACCCAGGCACAGAGGGAATAATATTACATGTTCTCAGTCATATGTGGGAAGTAAAAAGAAAATGACTTCATAGAGATAGAGAGTGGAATGATGGTTGACGGAGGCTGGGAAGAGTAGTGGGAAGGGAGGGATAAAGAGAAGATAGTTAATGGGTACAAAAATACAGATAGAAGGATTAAGATCTTGTGTTTAGTAACACAACTGGGTAACTATAGTTAACAATAATTTATTGTATATTTCACAATAACTAGGGAAGCAGAATTAGACGATAAATATTTGAGGTGTTGGATATCCCAATTACCCTGCTTTGATAATTACACACTATATACTTGTATCAAAATATCACGTGTACTTTATACAAACATATAACTCATATATCCATAAAAATATAAATAAAAGTGGAAAAAATGAGATAATATGAATATATTAACTAATATTGTGTTGCATTGGCACAGGAATAGGACAATGTAAAACCACTGAAAAACCAAAATGATCTCAAATTGGAGATATACATATGCACATTTGTTTTACTGTAGAGATGGCACTATAAATGACTGAGAAACGCATGCCCTATATATTAAATATTCTCAGGACAATTGTGTATATGCAAGGGAATAAAGAAACATCCAAATTGAATACTTACGCTACAGCATTCACTCCATGTGGATTAAAAAAAAAGTAAAAGTCAAAATTATATATTTTAAGATGCAATACAGATTAATATTAGGAGTTTAAGGATATAGTAAACATGGCACCAAATTTACTAATAATGTTAAAATATACCTTTGACTATATTTAAACTAAGATGTTTGTACATCAAAATATATAAAATGAAAGAGAAAAGACTCATCAAACACTAGGAAAGCAAATTTGCAATGATAAGGGAAGAGTATCCAGAATATATAAAATATATCTGTTAATCAAAAAGCAAAATATTAAATAACAGTAAGGATAAGTAGAAAGAGTCAAAAACCAGCAATGCACAGAAAATCAATAAGTGACCTAAAACCATACGAAAATTGTAAATGAATATGGTAAGGCCTAAAATTAGCAATTTATGCTTTCTAGACAGCTGGGAAAATCAGGAGGACTATGGCCTAATCACAACTTCCCCTCCTCACTCTGCTCTCCTGTTCTCCTAGCCAAACAACCTTCATTATCAGTTGGACCAAGTTAAGTACTGCTTATCACTGAATAGTGAGTTTCAGTTTCTCACCACCCATTAGAAATAGGCAAACATGCCAATCACATCCCCCACTGGGTCCAAGGGGCACTTCATCTTCTTGATATCACGAAGTCAGCTTCCCATAGCTTCTGGTTTTTCACTCTTCTCAAATACCCATATGGCCCTGAGTGGCAAGTGATGCCTTCTTCCCTGGGCTGTGAATGCATATGACGAATCTCAGTCTCATCTGTCCAGTGTTTGGTCATCCCCGTAACTCTTCCCGCTTAAGAGGGTGTGTAATACGTGATGGAAACAATGACATACAAAGCCATAATAAACAGCATCTAAACTAACCATTTTGACAATCCTTGGAAGAGACAAACTGGGTGGTTAACAAATTGAGAAAGGGGAATCTCTTACTACAGGTAAAAAGATTTTCAAAGAACTTGGAAGATTAAATTGCCTCTGTGTGTGTGTGTATATGCGTGTCTGGGTGTGTGCATGTGTGTGTGAGTGTGTGTGTGTGTGTGTGTGTGTGTGTGTGTGTGAGACAGACTCCTGCAGAACAGGTGACAATTACAGGGTACTTACCCATGTTCAATAGCAGATATTTTATAATAAAACTGCAAAAAATCCAAATACCAAACTGATTGATGAATCAGTATGAATCATCATAACTGGAATGACTAATTTATCAAAATTGGTAAAATATTCATGCAATATTATATATCAATGGAAACACATCAAATAGAGTTCATTTACCCCATGAAGAAGAAAGTGTCATGTTGAGCATGAAAAAGCAAGAAACAGAATATATCCTCTAAGATTTTCTATCTATGGAGTGTAAAAACAGAAAAATACAAAGTGTGTATCTAGGGGGCACTGGGCATGGGGATAGAGAGACAGACTGAAACAGAGACAGAATGAGGTGGTTGAGAAGAGCACAGGAGCACACGGGGAGACTAAGTACTGGCAATATGTTACATGCCAACAGAAGAGTAAGATAATCATTTTCTTGCTTTCTTTTAAGTTTTACATATATATTAGCAACTCTAGTTTAGCATGTGACATATAACTGAAAAGAGCTCTTGTTGTATGTGTGAGGATGTTTGCCTGGATTGTCTTTCAATATGCAAATATTGAAGTTTTTATTAACATGAGTTACATATTCATGGGTTTGTTCACATAAAACCTTGTGAATCAAAAAGTCCCAACTAAGCATTGAAGAAAGCTAAAAGTTGCTTACTGATGTGCAAAGACATAAACTCTAATAAACTAAATATTAATAAAAACTTTCATAAGAAACGTGGTCTCCATATGTATTTACTTTTTCTCATGACTTGGCATCCCTTGATTAAACAAAAGTGAAACTATAATTCAATAATGGCTAACCTTTTGAAATTTGTCTATCATCAGTCAAAAATATAAATTATCCCATAGCCAATTAAAACAAACAGATATGTATAAGGAGGCCACGTTTGCCCATTGTTAAAATGAAAAATATTTTAGAATGTATTACATCATACAATTATTACATTTATAAATAGAAAATATTTTATCAGTAAAATAATATTTGAAAATATCAGTACAATAAAATATTTTATCAGTATTTATGTTTAATACATGATAGCTCATGTGCATCACACATGCAAAACTATGACATAGGGAATGTAAAAACCGTTTGAATTGATCTCTAGAGATATAACCACATTTACTCAAGAATCCCAACTAATTGATGGGAAACCGAGACTAGAACGCGGATTAGTCTGTTTCTCTCATCAATGATCCAAACAGCTTCAGAGTGCATCAATGTAAGTGTTAATGGAATATATTACATTAATAGGTCTATATGGTAAGTTATTTTCCCTATTAGAGTAAATTGATCCATTATTTGAGAAAACGCTAACAAATTTAATCAGCTGTAAATTAAATCATTTAAATTAAACATTTGCTTAATCATGGAGTTTCTTGTTTTTCTACTTGCAAGTATACTATTATAAATACATTGAATTTTCCCATTGAATAATACTTCCACTGAGAACAGATATTATCTCTAATTTCATATACTATATATACATATGTGTGTGTGTGTGTGTATGTGTGTGCGTGTGCATGTGCACATTTTGGACTCTGGCTCCTTGTAAGAAAAGATTAAGATTAAAATTATTGGGACACCATGAGGGACCTCTGATACATGAAAGCAGTGAGAAACTGTCAAGTTCAACCGATCTAATTCAGGACAACACAAACATTTCTTAGGGCAGTTCTCCCCTCTTCCTGAGGTGAAGATTAACTGGAATACTTTTAACAGGGCTTACATTGAGCTGAAAAGGAACCAGAGAAGCGTTGGTAAGAGAATCCAATTTTTCTTGTGCAGACTAGGATTAGGAAATGGAGAATTATGAGTGAGAAGAGAAATCCATGTTGGCACCATGAAAAGGGATATCTCAATTTAAGTGATTAAAAGCAATAATAATCTCTGAATATAAGTGATTGAGGTTTCAGCAACATTTCTTTCATTAATGAGCTTTTCGTTGTGAACTCTGTTAATGTGTTATGTCCACATGTGTGTAATGTATATAACTTGGTCCAAAGTTACCCAAATATATGTGCTACTTTAAGAAATTTTTATGGTACAAAATTTATATCAACTTCTTACAATTTCTTAAAGGCAACATAATGGTAACAAACAAACACATATTTCAACCGAGAGATAAATAATTAAGATAACTAATCAAAAGCAAATATGACCTTCCATGAATATCTGATCAAGGATGATTTCCATTCATTCTCATATATTTATTTTCTAGATTGCACTTAATGTCTAAAATTACTATTTTATTCCTTTGTCTCCATGTAAACTTTGTCTCCCTCAATTGACACGTAAGCTTCAGACAACTTTCTTGTCTTGTTAACATCTGCTTACCGAGACTATAATGTATATTTGGCGAATAAATGTTTGAAAAATAACTGATTGAAGAAAACCTCTGTGCTGGTGTGCTCGTCCGGGTGAAAACAGGGGATTGGGATGATATTAAAAAGTTTAAAAGAGACTTGATATGTAAACTTCCTTAGGGATATTTAAGCTTAATCTTTTGACTTCCTCTAAAACATAAAATATTTCAAGTATATGGCTTTTGTTCTGATCTTAGGGACCACCAACATAAAATGCTATAGGATCCACTCAGGAAACTTACATCTATTAACTTAGTGAATTGCAAAGCTAAGGAAACTTGGCAAAAATAAAATAAATATATTCAGTGCTTAGAAAAACTCAAATTAAAATATTTTAGAACATAAGGACTGATACACACATTTATTTACAGAATTTGCCAGACACTGGTTTACAAACCACATTTTATGTTTTAAGTTCTTTTCTCTTCATAACAGCAATTCTACCTACTAATTCTATCAGAGTGTAAAACTTTTTGAGATGCTTTTATTTATGTTTTTAACCAATAGATAACTTTTTAGAAGTGTTGAGTTTGCAGAAAATTTGAACTGAAACTTAACTTTTGTTTCCCAATTTCTCCTTTTCTCCTGTTATTAACATCTTTTATTAGTGTGGTACATTTATGACAATTAATGAGCAAACACGAATAAATTATTAATTAAAGTTCATGTTTGGCATTAGGTTTTACTCTTTGTATTGTATATTCTATGGTTATTGACAAATGTATAATGGCATCTCTCCATCATTATATAATCCTTTTTTTTTTTTTTTTTTTGAGACAGAGTCTCGCTTTGTCTCCCAGGCTGGAGTGCACGGTCGTGATCTCTGCTCACTGCAGCCCCCGTCTCCCGGGTTCCAGCGATTCTCCTGCCTCAGCCTCCCGGGTAGCTGGGATTACAGGCATGTGCCACCATGCCTGGCTAATTTTTGTACTTTTAGTAGAGACAGGATTTCACCATGTTGGCCAGGCTGATCTTGAACTCCTGACCTTAGGTGATCTGCCCGCCTCAGCCTCCCAAAGTGCTAGGATTACAGGCATGAACCACTGCGCCCGGCCCATTATAGTATCTTATAAAATAATTTCACTGCCCTGAATATACTCTGTGCCCCACCTATTCATCCCGCCATTTGTCCCTCCAAACACGTGGCAATTACTGACTTTTTTTTTCTGTCTCTATAATTTTACCTTATCTAGAAAGTCATATAGTTAGAATCATACACTGTGTACTATTTTCAGGTTGACTTCTTTCATTTAGCAAGGTGCATTTAAGGTTGCTTCATATTTTTTTGAGGTTTGATAGCTCATTTCTTCCTTTCCTTAAATTGTAGTTTAAGTTGTATATAATAATTGTACATATTTTTGAGATACAATGTGAGGTTTCAATACATGTATACATTATGTGACGGTCAATTCAGGGTAATTAGCAAATTTACCACATCATACATATCACTTTTTTGTGGTAGGAACATTCAAAATCCTCTCTTCTAGCTATTTTGAAATATATAATGCATTATTGTTAACTACAGTCATCTTACTGTGCAATAGAACAAATTCCTCCCATTTAACTGTAACTTTGTACCTTTTGACCAACCTCTCCCGATTGCCCCTTCCTCCTGCTTTCTCTCACCTCTAGTGTCTACTATTCTAGTCTCTACACCTATGAGATCAACCTTTTTCTAGATTCTCCATAAGAGATCATTTATTTTTATTACTGAATAATATTTCATTGGATGGATGTGTCATAGAATGCTGATTTATTCATTTACTGAAAGGAATCTTGGTTGCTTCCAAGTTTTAGCAATTATGCGTAAATCTGATATAGATATTTGTGTACAGGTTTTGTGTAGATGTAATTTTTCAGTTCATTTGCTTAAATACCAAGAACTATGATTACTGAAATATGTGGTAAGAGTATGATGACTACAGTAAGAAAGGACCAAACTGTCTTCTAACATGTCTGTACTGTTTTGCACTTCTCCCAGTAACTAACAAGAGTTCCTGTTTCTCCATATCATTGTCGGCATTTGGTATTGTCAGTGTTTTGGATTTTAGTCATTTTGATACGTGTGTAGAAATATCTCAGTGTTATAATTTGCAATTCCTAAAGATACCAACTGATTTTTAAACTGTTGATCCTGGCTTATGGTTGTAGTTGTTGCTTGCAGAAACAAACAAACAAACAAACAAAAAAAGAGTATTAGTGAGTTTATGATAGCCAGAGTAGAAGTCTGCTTATAATAGATGAAGGCAGACTTTTTGGAGCTGCTTTTCAGTTCCTTAACATTTCCAAACTATCTATTCTACTTCTCATTGTACTGGATGGATATAAAGTAAGATTAACCTTTCAAATCATGCAGGGTATTTAAGATTGACTTTAGGATCTTGCAAAATTTCCTGCCATCTTCTCTTAAAACAAACACTGCAAATAAGAAATATATTAACCTCATTATTGAATTTGTGTTAAATTATAGTAATATTTTAAATTGTCTTAAATAGCAATTTAAAATAATCAGTTTTCTCCCCTGGATGAGGACAAATCTTCTTTAAAGGAAATATATGTCAGGTTGGGTGAGTGTTTTATAGCCTTAAAATTAAAATTTTGTGCCCTAAATAATTTTTATAAGAAAAGTTAAAGTTTTACTAAAATATATGTTTTTTTTCTCTATGGTAAAACTAAGAATATATTTTGGATAAAGTATCGAAAACAGCAGTATATTATTTTTATAAGTGGATTAGAGGAGGAGAGTGTGTTTTAAAAAGTTCCTGGGGGAATATCAAACTGCGAAGAATGAAATTTCTCTGCACACACAGGAATATCTGTTGCTCTTGAAAGATATTGGAGTATAAAGATACCCACTTAAGAAAAATTCTGACACATTTAAATGTTCTTTTTAAAGAAAAATATGTTTTTTTTACTTCAAATTGAATGTAAGTGTAAAGTAGAGAAACATATGCAGCATTTGAAAATCGTTATCATCACCATTAAATTAGGTTGTTAATGTTATTGTCATTTTTGGTTATTAAACTAAAGTCTGATGTATAGCAGATCTTAATAACATCAAGTCCTGAATTGACCTTCATATGTTTTGTGGGTCTTTTGTAAGCAATCCAGACATAAGGCTAGAACAACAACATTAAGGAATGCTTGTAAATAAATAAATTGAAATGTGAGAATGTTTCATTCTAATAAAATATTTTTATATCTATTATAAGAAACAGTCCCTTAAAGTTACTTACCTATTTTTCACATTTATCTTACACCATATGTAATTAGATTCACATAGTATTTATTGTTAAATGCATAACATATAATGTATAAATATACTATTTTAGACATGTGCTATTATTAGATTTCCTTACTATGATATTTCCTTTACCTCAACTATTGCATGTGAAAGTAAATATAAATGGAGTTCACATTCAGAGAGAGAAACATATAATAGTACAATAAGTAGAGAAGATTAACAGAAAGAGCAAGAGATTCTAAATTTAGAGACGTGTTGTAATTCATTTGTGAGGAAAATAATTTTAGTTGCCTACTGGGCAATCTGATCTCCCCCTTTATCTCATTTGCACTAATTGTATTCATTGAGTGAAAATACAACCTTTTCTAGCCACATTTGCAACTGAATGTGGCCATGTTACTACATTTTGGGTAATGATGTAAGCATATTATATAAATATGTATAATAAAGTTACTAATTATATATAACTATATATATTATAAAGTTACTTATATAAATATTTACAAGTACTTTATAATACACAAGTAAATTGAGATAAATTATTTTCTTATTTAAGTCTTCTTATTTTTCTGTAATATGCAGGTGGATAACCTCACATATATATAATATATAATATAATATACATAATATATAAATAAATTGAATATATACAAATATATTTTAATATATATATATACTCACACACAACACACACAATTTTCTTCTTTCATTTGAACTCCAACTGATATATTGAACCATAAAGACAAGAGCTGGGTTTTAAGAAAAGTAGCAAGAAAAAGAAAGAGCCTGGGAACTGAAAACATGGAGTTACAGTATCAAACCTGGAATGACAATACCTCAACTGTATGAGAGATATAAATTATTTTCTTATTTAAGCCACAGTTTCTTTTCATTTTTCTGTAATGTGCAGGTGGATAGCCTCATATATATAATGTATATTATGTATATAAAATATACATTATATGTAAAAATACATTTGAATATATCAAAGGTTCAATTTCTATACCTATTGAGGGTAGAAGTGCCTCCTCTACCCAGCTTATAATATTATTTTAATATTAATATAAATGAATTAATAAATACTACATAATAAAATAGAAAACTCTTTATTCTGATGATGCTGAATTCACTTCCTAACAGATACACGTCTTTCTAATTACATTTGTATTTTTTCTAGCATTATGCTTATAGTGCCCTTTTCATTGAATAATCTAGGAAGTAATATATCACAAGGAATTAGAGGAAAAATAATTGATGAAGGTTAACGTGTTTATTCACTGAGAAGATTCACATACACAAAAAGTTATAAACATATGCACAGAGTTTTATATGCAACTCTATTGGCATTTTCAAAAAGAAAGTAATCAACAAACTATACTTTGAAAGTAGAGATAAAATTTTTATGAATTTAATAAGATTTCTTTTAAAATATGTGCTATGTTTGGAGTAGTAGGATTTCGGAGACAAGATTTCATGAGTTTAATCTGATTTCTTTTTAAATATGTGATATGTTTGAAATAATAGGACTTTGGAAAAGATGATGTGGGACTAAAAAAGTGGGACTAAAAGAGGAATCCATTTGATCTCTGACCTTGAAAATGTCTTCAGGCCGGAGATATCAGGTTTGAGGCTAAAAGACCATTTATAATAAAACATACACTCCCTAGAAGCTACACAAATTTTCAGTGACATGTAAATTAAAAAGGATTTTTAATGTATTTCTCAGGCTCTGGCACATGAAACCATTTGAAAAGTTATTGGTGTCAAACATCAAACATATCTCTTAGCTCTTTTCATGAAGACTTGTAGGTACACGCACACTCAATATCCCTAAGTATTTGTGTATTTTAAGGAACTTGACGTTATAACTTTAATATGTTTTTATTTTCCACAAATATCCAATCCAAATGTGTTTTCCATAGAGGCTACACAGGATGAAGCTCAAAAGCAGGTATCAGACCTTGACAAAAAACTAAAGATTCAGCCAGAGTAGTCAATGAAGACTGAAGTCATCTGCCTCTGTATATTCACATAGCTCCAGGTAAGCCAGTGGCACAGAAGAAATTGGTGCCAGTGAATATTCAAGAATCATGCTAACCTGCTGAGAAGAGCCTGGAGACACCTTTATACATCTCCACCTCCAACTGCTATATCTACAGAAATGTGGCTTACAAAGGGCAAAGAGACTTAAACTGTTTTATGAGCAGTGGGTTGAATTTTAATAGCATCATTAGGCCATGGTGTGTGACTTATTGTCACTCTAAAATGTGCATTATTAAAAAAAGCAAAAGCTAATAAAAGTGTTAGGTTATAACTTCATCCACAGAAGGTCAGATGGAAGAGTATAGCAAATTGACTGGCTAATTGTACTCATTAAGCATACAGGTTATCTTAAATTTGTAATATTAATGTGACCTTCAGAGGAAACATGTCTGGAGCATTTGAATAGCAACTTACTCTTTTATTTATTATTGTTTCAGTCTTTTACATTATCATGTGAAGAAACCAGGGAGAAAATATTGTTGATATTTTATTTCAGCATTCTATGGAATAAAATAAATGCAAGTGGTCTGTTTAAACATATGCCAAATAATGTTTACATGACCAAGGATTTATGTGAAGCACTTAAAACTCTTAAGAATAGGACTGAAGAATCCACAAATAAACAGAAAATCATGGTTAATATCAACAAAATTAACATCAAAATTTTATTATACTTTAAGAAAAGAATTGTAAGAACATGGATAGAAAATTTGCTGCATATGTTTAATAGCTGGGCATAGATGGATGTACAATGCTTATAAGATGTATTTTGTAAGCACAGCAGCAAAAGAGATTTTTTTGAATGTGTAACAGGAGCTGCAAGGGGATGTAAAAAATGTCTACTTGAATGATGGACACTAGATCTTAATTAAATCTTTCTCTCTGCAGAAGAAGTTGCTGTCTTTTTCACATTGAGGCTGAGATGACAGGGCCCAGTGCTGGCAGTAGGATATTCTTGGGGAGTCCATCTTCTATTTCACAACCCAGATGAGCTGTTAGTTTGCTGTTGTTGACAATGCCTGGCATCAAATTATTAGAGGAATGCTAGGGAGTAAATTAGGAGGTCCTGCTTTTTAGCACTAGGGTTTCTGTTAGAAATTTTTGATAATGTACATTTAATCAACTTAAGTCCTGGGCCTTGTTTCTACATTTGAAAAATAAAGGTGCAAAGAACCAGATCTGTTCACTACATTTACTGTCCAAGGGCCTTCCATTCTAGTCCATTGTTTAATATGACTTTGTCAACATTACGAGATAAATCATATTAGTCTTTTTTTAAATGAGAAAAGCCTTAGGTTCAAAGAAGTTAAATAATGTGCCTGAATGTTTGAAGTCTTACTACAGTCTAACTCCAAATAAGAATATTGTCATTCTAGAAGGGATAGGCTAGATGAATTATAGTATGAAATGCACAAATGTCAGTATTTCTAGATATGCTCACTTTTACTGATGACTAAATATAAATTAAATGTAGTAGGGAGTTTCAGATTGTTTTAAATTACCTGTCACAATATGTTACATTCAAAAGATATCCCCTTCTGGAAATGAGAATATTTAAATTGGATCAGTGCTTCATATGAACATAACTAAAAGAAGTATAATAAATATCTTATTTTTGAAATCTATTGAAAGGCATTGAAAAGATTAAAATACAGTGAGAAATTATAGGGATAAGGTCAAGGATTAAAAATAATTAGAGAGATGAGCTCATTATTGCAGACAGCTTTCCCCTAGGGATATCTGACAATTCCAGGAAAAGCTGCTGGGAAGATGAGCAAATGAAATGATCTTTAAACAGGGTCATGAAGAAAATACTGAAAATTTGAACTCAGTGCTCAGCAAAATTGACAGTCCTGATAAACTATCAATATCTGGATTGAATAGATAATAGGAATAAGGGTGAATTGAAACTAGACAGACCATTTAGAGACATTTCAGTACCTGGAATTGGATGTAGGTAATCATAATTGATAAATCCCTTACCTACTAGCTAGAAAAAAACGAATTACTCTCTGGAGGAAGGTAACACCTTTCTAGGTCTTGAGTTTGTCTGTGTTTTTTCATGTAATTTGGCTAACAATCAGGTACAAGAGGGGACATCATAACATGATGAGAAAACAAGAAAAACAACACATAATAGAAACAGAGCTTCCTGGATTCCAGATAATGAAGTTAGAATAAATAGACATTAAAAGAACTATGCTTAATATGTTTAAAGATATAAATACAAATGATGTTAGCTTTGGAAGAACAATGCTTAAGAAAAAATTAAATGCAAATTCTGAAACTGAATAAAATAATTCAACCAGTGAATTCAGCAGTTGAGAGAATCAGTAAACTATAAGATAAATCAGAAAAACTATCCAGACTGAAGCCTAGAGAAACTACAGGGTGGAATAAAAGCAGAGATGCTGTATTATTAAAGGTTCTCTAGAGAAACAGAACCAATAGAATCCTATTATACTCGTCTGTTTCTCTGGAGAACAGAGAATATGTGTGTGTGTGTGTGTGTGTGTGCGGGTGTGTATATGTTACATATTTATAATATATTCATATTCAATTCATATTCATATATTCACGTATACTTACAGATATATACAAAGAGAGAAAGAAAGTTTAAGAAATTGGCCTATAAGATTATGAGAGTTTTTTGGCATGTATTCTGTAGGGCAGGCTGCCAGTCTGTACATTCAGGTAAGAAATTATATTGCAGTCTTGAGTTTGAGACTCACAGACAGGCCAGCAGGCTGGAGAATCAGGCTGGGTCTCTATGTTGCAATCTTGAGGCAGAATTTTTTTTTTTTCTTTTTCAGGAAACCTATCTTTGCTCTTGAGACTTTAAACTGATTGGATGAGGCCTACCTCCATTATTAAGGATAGCCAAGTTTATTTAATGTCTACGGGTTGTAAATGTGAATCACATTTTAAATATACATCTACAGTATTTGAACAAACAGCATAGCCTAGCCCAATTGTCATATAAAATTAATTACCACCGGTGGTAAGAATTAAAATAGATATATTTTATGCATACAATCATATTCATATTTAAAGTCACACCAAGAGAATACAGAAAAAGGAAAGAGAAGCAATAATTGAAGAAAAAATGCTGAGAATATTCAAATAAAATATATCAAGGCACAGATTCAAAAAAACTTAAAAATCCCAAAAACTCCGAATTTAAAAAAAAACAAGGCACAATTTTTAATGCAAATGCAAAATTAGAATACAAAAATACTAGAAGCCCAATGAAACAAGGAAAAAACATAGCAACACAGAAGAATTAAAAGAATATTTTTAAAGAAGTCATGATAGGACTCACAACTCACTTCTCAACAGAAACTGTGGATGTCTATAAGAATTAAAGTGATATCGGCAGGGCACGGTGGCTCACACTTGTAATCCCAGCACTTTGGGAGGCCAAGATGGGCGGATTACAAGGTGAGGAGATCGAGACCATCCTGGCTAACATGGTGAAACCGCATCTCTACTAAAAATACAAAAAAATTAGCCAGACGTGGTGGTGGGAGCCTGTAGTCCCAGCTACTGAGGAGGCTGAGGCAGGACAATGGCATGACCCTGGGAGGCAGAGTTTGCAGTGAGCCGAGATCGTGCCACTGCACTCCAGCCTGGGTGACACAGTGAGACTCTATTAAAAAAAATAAATAAATAAAAAAGGGATATATCTTCAAGTATTGAAAGAAACTGATTGATATACTAGATTCTGTGCTAGGTAAAACTGCCCTTCAAGAAAGTAAGAAAAATAAATATATTTTCTACAAAAATTTACAAAAAAATAGAAGAAGAATTCACAATGAAAGTGGGGTATTTTAACATAGCCTCTAAGAAACTGAAAATATAAGCAGACTTAAAAAATAATGTCTTTGAAAATTTTAACAATATGACTTGTAAGGCAACTGATAAACACAAAATGTGTATATATATTCATATATGTGTATATATTATATACTTACATAATATAAATGTATAACATATTTTTATACACACAAACTTGAAATACCTTAATAACTTCAGAAAATACATTATTTTAGGAACATTGGGACCATTTATAAAATGTACCAAATTCTATTCCATAAAACTAGTTTCAAGAAATATTAAATGATTTATATTATTCAGATTATGTACCTGACCAATGTGAAATAAGTTATAAATCAATTATTTTTTAAAGTCACCTGACTGCACCATAAGTTGGGAGATAAAAAATAAGCTTCCAAATAACTCATGTAAATGTAAAGAAAATCACAGTAGAAATTAGAAAATATATTTAATGGAAATATAAGGACATATCAAAATTTTAGTAATCTACCCACATCTGTGCTTAGAGGGAGGTTTATAGCTTCAAATGTCTACATTAGAAAAATAACATAGGCTAAAAAAGTAAGATAATTATTGTATTAGTCTGTTCGTGCATCTCTAAAAAGAAACAGCTGAGTCTGGGTGAATTAAAGAGGTTTAAATGACTCACAGTTCTGCAGGCTGTACGCAGAGCATAGTGCTGGCATCTGCTCCGGTGAGGACCTCAGGAAGCTTGCAAACATGGTGGAAAGTGAAGGGGAGCCAGCATGTCACCTGGTGAGTGCAGGAGCAAGACAGAAAATAAGGAGGTTCCAGATCTCTTAAATAACCATATCTTGAGTGAACTAACTGAGGGAAAACTCACTTATAACCAAGGGGATGGTGCTAAACCATTCATGAGGAATCTGCCCCCATGATATAACTTCCACCAGGCCTCACCTCCAACACTGGGAATCATGTTTCAACATGAGATTTGGACGGGACAAATAACCAATTTATATCAATAATATATATTAAAATATTTTTAAACATTTAAACATAAAGGAGAGAAAGGAAGGTAAAATATTATTAGCAGAGGTTAGGAGTAAGCCACCCAAAATCTGGCCATAAAATTATCTGCAGCACTGTAACATGTTCATAATGGCCCTAACTCCTGCATCGGTAGGTTGTGGGTTTACGGGAATGAGGGCAAGGAACACCTGGCCCGCCCAGGGCAGAAAACCGCTTGAAGA